>NC_000006.12:94266096-94417035 GCF_000001405.40 Homo sapiens
TTGGAAGGAGGGAGAGGAGCAGGAAAGACAGCTATTGGTTATTGGGCTTAATACCTAAATGATGAAATAATCTGTACAACAAACTCCCATGACATGAGTTTGCCTATGTAACAAAACTTCATATGTACCCCCGAGCCTTAAATAAAACTAAAAGAAACACAAAAGTCACAACTCGACCAGTTGTATAAAGATAGATTGGAGGAAATGCAGACAGTTACTAGTATGTTGAAATAACCCAACAAGAGCAATGGTGGCTCAACACCTGGGGTGGAAGTGAAGAGAGGAATATGTGTTTGAAAGCAAAATCCACAGGATTTAATGATCAATACTTATTGGCAATTTTAATTCTCTAATTTGAGCAGAGTTGTTTGGGTGTTGAAGTGGAAATGTTGTAGGGATTAGATAATGAGTTTAGTTTAGCACCAATCTAACTAGAGGTGACATGTTTAGAGCAATAGTGTGAGCACTAGAAAGGCAGAAACAGAGTCAAGCTGAGCTCGAGATATTAACATTTCATGATACTTCTTGATTTTTTGCTACTGAGCCTGTTTACCCACACCTGTTCCACGAAGGCTGATTCATGTAGCGACTAGGAAGGTATATGGACTTTCTATTCTGATCTTACCGCTGGCTAACCTGCTATTCTTCCTATTCCAACAGACAAAACCAACATAAGCAAAACATTTTGAATACTTGAGCTACAAAACAATGGAACTATGTGATGCAACGACCTTGTTTTATCTTTTTTCTATGGAGATAAAGAATAACAGTTTTTTTTGAGCACTTACCATGTTCAAACAGAGTATTGCTAAATTCTAACATATTATCTCATTGATCCTCACAAGTCTCCATAGGATAGAAAATAAAAATATTATTATTCTTACTTTGCAAAAAAGAAGTTAAAGCCTAAAGAATTTAAATGAATTACCCTAAACAACTCATGAGTGATAGAGTCAGGCCTCAAATACAGCTCTGTATGACTTCAAAGCACAAGTGTTTTAACATTAATCTAACCTGCCTCCCCATATTCTTTCTGATTCTCAGCTGGATAATCATAAATCACATCTCAATCACTTACATCATGATAAAATTCAAACTTTGAGGAGTTTGATTTCCAGATTTTTTATGTGTGGCCTGCGCAGGGAACAGCATAGCTTTATTTCTTCTCATTTCCTGAGATAGAGCAATGCTCTTCTTGAGCCACATCCTACCAATGCCTGCCTCTTGAATACTCCATGCTCTTTCTCACATTCATGTCTTTACTCAAGCAACACATGGAGGTCTCCACATCTAATACTACTCAAATTATATATCATCTCCTTGGTGAAGCTTTCCTACACTCTCACCACCAAAATATTATTTCATTCTAGCTCTTTGCAACTATAAAACTTTGTATATACCTTTATTATTATGTTTATCTCATTAATATTTTGTTTCCATGTCTGATTCTCCCCAAGACTATGTACATCTCAAAATATTCTGTTTTACTCATTTATGTTAATAAATGTTAGTGTCAGTCATTGTACTGATATTTCATCATCTTTGCAGAGTCAAAGATAAAGATGCTCTATTTCCGAGAAAGTGTGGAATTCCTTTCTATGTTCCCTCTCTTCTTTCTAGTTATTTCAGAAATGGCAGTTAGGATCACCCAGTGGAGGAGTTCAATTCTCTGGTGGTAGTACTTCTAGGGCAGGTTGAGACAGTGCTCTGGAGACAGTACAGATGAAAGGAAAGAAGAGATTCTTATTACTGGGCTGTTTTTATCAGTAAGTCAATATAAGTCATTTTACATGTAGTAAATTATCTCCTTTCTGGAAAGAATTTTCTAATGGAGGAGAAAAATGACTTAAAGATATTAAAATATTTTGAGGGAAAATATTATTATATGGATAAATAAACAGGAGTGTAAATAAGAGAGACCAGTAGTACAGTGAGACAATGTTTTCCTTCTTCTCTGAAAATAATGCAATCACTGTCTATAATAGAGAATAACAACTTCAAAAATGTTATAAGGTTCTTCCTGGTTTTGACACATTTTGACAAACGCTATGTTCTTAATTATTTGCACTAAGAAGAAATCATTAGATGCTGTATTTGGGATCAAATATTGAAGATAATAAACAGAAATGTAGAAGAAAATTAATGTTTGAAATGCTTTTAAATTGCATATAAATTATTTTCTTTAGTGGAAAAACATTATACGAGATATATACTCTCAATATTTTAAAGTATTAAAAAATTCAAGAAAACAATGCTGTATAGTGTAAATTATATAAAGCAATGAGTGTAGATAAAGTATTCAGTCATAATGCCATTAAAGAGGAAATAAGATTAAGAGAGGTTGAGAAGAGATGAGTTTTAAATAGTAATGCTAAAAGATGGGACATAAGTTACAAAATATTAACTAGATTTGCCGTATTTGGTTTATCTGATCAGACCCAAAGAATGTTAATGGCTAAAATTAGATATATTTTTCACAACTTAATGTGGGAAGGAAAGGAAGAGACGCACCCTGGAGCAAAATTCGTTCTACAAGGTGGTAGATTAGATTAAGCTAGATTGAAACCTGCAGAGAATGACTAGAGTAGCACTAATAGGTTAGACTACCCAAAAATGTGTTTGCTTTTTCTTTTTAAAAAAATTGTATAGGTTAAAATGATCAGCCTGCACACACATTACTTGCAAGTTGTCCTGTAACTCTCATCTCTGAATATATAACAGGTTCAAATTTATTGGTCAGATTAGTCAGTTGACCCGTTACAGCTAAATCAAAAGAAATAAAATAAAGGAAATGAGATTTCCTTTGAAAAAATTAAGGAAGAAATTATAGAATTAGGAAACTGTATAAGTGCAGTGGAACGCAGGTCTGGAATTAGGCATCAGGGAACTGAAGTTTGCTTATAATCAATGATGTTATTATGAACTAAATGCTTGTCCCACCACCCCCCACTACTCCAAATTCATATATTGAGGCTCTCACTCCCAATGTGATGGGGTTAGGAGATGGGGCCGTTTGGGGGGTAATTAGGTTTAGATGAGGTTGTGAGAGTAGAGCTTCCATGATTGGACTAGTGGCTTTAGAAGAGGAAGAGACAGCAGAGCTCTCTGTTTCTCTGCCATGTGAGGACACAGCAAGAAAACAGCCTTCTGAAAGCCGGGAAGACAGTCTTTATCAGAAACCAGCCACAGACACCCTGATCTTAGAATTTCCATGCTCCAGAAATGTCTGGGGTTTAAGCCTCTCAGTCTATGATATTTTGTTGTAGCAGTGTAAGACATGCAGAATTAGAGGAGTGATTAAGACAAATGTCAGTAAAGATTGTTTTCTTAAAGAGAAGAGACAGCCATAAAAGGTGATGTCACCCCCTACAGCAAGCATAATGAGTCAAGGTCTTGGTGAAAGCCAACCTGCTCTTAAGATGGTGATGGAATCCATGTCAATTCTCAGTCTAGGCAGCTTCCTTAATGCCTTCCAGGTGATTTTAAAAGAGCCACCAGGGATATAGGCTTGTGCATTAATTAACAAAGTAGACTCCCCATGAAGATGAGATAAATTCTTTTAATCTCATATATTATGTTAAGGCAACCATTAAGTGTTTGATGAATGAGAAGAAGGTCACAGGAAAAAAAAACATGGATAATTATTATTATATTATTTTATGATTACAAATATTCTCTGAACACTAAAAAAAGTTTGAATGATTCTAAGAATATAACTGCAGATCTATTGCATTCCCTAGAGAAACTAGGATAGTTCTACATGGACATGAAAATATATCTTTTCCTCTAGTTTTGAGCAGTGTTAAACATTTTCCCTAAGGAATTTTAGCAACAGTAGAACATTATTTTTAAATTAACTTTTTCATTAAATACTTGTTTCCCTTGAAAAGGGAGCAGCTGTTTAGTGCTGGCAGATATTTTTCCCCTCAATCTATGAGTGTAAATAAAAAACAATTTGTTTTGTGAGTAATCTACAGTATGACAATTTGTCTACAAATATGTCACTGCCTGTTTACTTCAGTGTGTGTCAATTGGATTTAGCCCCTTATTTGCAGAGAAGAGAAGAAGGCAATCTTGACAGCATGCCTGCCTGCCAGGCTGGCACTGCAGCCTCTCCCCCAGCTTCCTGTTGCCACTGAGAACCACGGGGAGTGAGAAGCCACACACTGTGCAGAGTGTGGGCTTAGCAGGACTAGGCCAGCAACAAAATTAGAGACCTGGGCTCTCACTGAGAGAGTAGAGAGCTGTTCACACAGAGGCAGATCTTTCTGTACAGCACTTTGATTAAGTCTAGGAAGAACCTTAATAGACTGCCATTTACTAGAAAGGAACCTTTTAGAGACAAGTGTTGGGAGATGGAGTTGGCTTTTTTTCCCCTCTGTCAGCTCCCTCTATACTGAACAGCTGATGCTTGCATTAAAGGAAGATCAAATAAAAAGCTTATTCAGCACTTACTAGATTTCCGGGAAGGAAAAAAAATATTGTCAGCTTTAGCTTACTTATATGTAAGTATATCCTTCTATATGTCAGCTTATATCACCCGGTGTGATGTATGATTCACTCCATGTATTTAGTATTATAATGAGTGAATCTCTTTCCCATAGCCAGGCACAGTACTCTCCTTTCACATCGGCACTTGCAGGGTTTGCATATTCACAAGATTGACCTGAGCTAGTGAACTCAAGAACCACATTAAGTTATTTCTATGGCTTGTGGATTACTCAGACAGATCTTAATGTTGTTATTTTGTGACAAATGATAAATGTTCCCTTCCATTGGACTCAGCAGCAGCATTAGTGTTATGGTAACTGAATTACTAATCTCTATTTCTTTTCTAAATATTTGTTCTTTTTTATATGTATATATGTATATTTTTATGTGTGTGTATATATATATATTTCAAAACTGAGATGTAGGCAGGAAATGGCAAATTCAATAGAAAAGTGATTAAAAGGGCAAAACTTAGTACAGGGCATGTATCCACTTGCTACATGAACACTTATTATAGATGATTATTAATTAAAATCTTTAGGAGTGTTTTGAAAGAGTGTTTTGAAAATAAATTTCAAAACCAAGAGCAATCTAAAAATATTTATCTCAAGCTTCAAGTATGCAAGAAGGTTAAATTCTGAGCAAAAATACAAATGCCATTTATTTTACACCAAGACCTTTAAATATAAATTATGATTCTACCTAGGGACAGGGAATGGAGGAAGTCAATACTACTTCCTCCTTTAAAATGGACTGGAAAACTCCAAGTTGGACACAATACACAGAATTCATTTTGAGAGATAAATCCTAACTACTTACTCTGAATAGTTTTTATTCAGATCCCAGTAGTTGGAAAATGATAGTTTAGAGAGACCCAAATTGGAAAGAAGTATATCCCTCTGTCACAGCTACCTTAAAACATCTTAAAATAGAATGCACCTGGATGGACAAGGTGAAAGCATATTCTTTTCTTCTTTTTCTTTTTTGAGACAGAGTCTCGCTCTGTTGCCCAGGCTGGCATGCAATGGCATGATCTCAGCTCACTGTAACCTCTGCCTCCTGGGTTCAAGTGATTCTCCTGCCTCAGCCTCCTGAGTAGCTGGGATTAGAAGTGTGTGCCACCACTCTTGGCCAATTTTTTTTGTATTTTTATTACAAAAGGGGTATCATGATGTTGGCGAGGCTGGTCTTGAACCCCTGACCTCAAGTGATCCACCCGCCTTGGCCTCCCAAAGTGCTACTTTTCTAATATTTAGAAAAATACTTATTGAAGCTATTAGAGATTATTAAATACTTGTGCTTAGAAAAATTCCAAACTTAGAGATGACATTTAAAAAATAATTTCCTCTTAATTCCTGTATATATAGGGAAAGAGAATTGTGTAAGTTTCTAAATTCCTAAAATGCATAGTAATTTTGAAAAAATTAAACAAAAAGTGAAGCAGAGGGAAGCACATAATTTTACATATTGATGGTGAAGCCAGGGTGTATGTATAAAGATGGAGTTTAGACACATTCATGTTTTTGCTTTCCACTAAAATAAGAGATAAAGATTCAAAGACTCATAAACCCACAAGGATAAACAAAACAGGAAAAGATAAAACAGCAACTAACTTTTTGGAATCTAGAGTGACAGATGCATGTAACTGACACAGCCTAATAGAGCTAAATTCTAAACTGGCAGTGGGGAAGGCTGAGAACCACGTTTACACCATAGAACCCTAAATATGTACAGATGGGCAACATTGGATGTTTCTTGAATTGAGGGTAAAGGCAGAGAGGATTGTTTGAACGATGGCTGAAGAAGCAGTTAGGATCCGTCCCCCCACAGACATGCTTCCCACCCCTGCATGTAGCTCTGTGAATCCCTGTGCCACCAGACACTGTAATGCCAGGCTGGGTTTTTCTTCAAAGAAGGACTTGTTTACCCAGTGCTGTGAGTACTGCCTCAGACAGGCATCAGGTGTCAGCACCCTCAGGGATTGTCTCAGCTACAGAAAACAATCTCAGCTTTCTGTGGCCTACATCTAATGGCTAATCAATGCAGTAGGGTAAGGTGTAACTATCTAAGTCCAACAGGGAACAACTCTGAAGGACTGTTCTAGTTCCAGACCTCTCTGGGGGGTCAGACAATCTATCTTTGGGCCAGTATCACAGCTGGATTTCTCCCTCTGCCCAAACATAATTTCTTCCTTTCCCGTCCACAGGGCTTGAACACAAAGAAGCACCTCAATAAATATCCTGTACATCAACTTGGTGTCCGAGCCTCCATCTAGATTCTGCAACAATAATTCTTCCTAATCTCTAAAGAAAAGTGTTGACTTATTCTTAGCATTCCATAAAGCAGAGGGTGTCTCTACAAAGGGGAACACTAGGGAACGTGAAGAGCAGATATTTCATACTTAATACAAGTCAAATAATTGAACATTTGCACACCAAAGCAGAGATACAAGCCTTCTAATTCCTACAATTGTCTATAGGGTATTCAGGAAAATTGCTTTCTGAAGTATCTGAAAAGCCTAAAAAGAAAATTAGAATGCATTCATATTAAGATAAAATGGCCCCACCAGAAAACCTTACAGAGAAGCCCAAAGGTAGTAAACTTTATACCAGCAAAGAGCTTACAGTGATTTCTTTTGAAGCCTTAGAAGAAAATCTGAGATAAATAAGTATACATAGAAACCTTTTAACATGAAAGACAAACACCAAAATAGGCAAACAAACAAACAAATAGCAACTTGGAGGTACTAAAGACTAGGAAGTGATTATGAAATTAAAATTACTGATATCCTCAGAAAGATAAGAGAAGGTATTACATTCATGAAACAAGAACAAGGTGCTATAAAAGAAGAAAATAGAGTTCCTGAAAATTAAAAAGACATCAGTCAAAAACAAAACCTTACTAGAAGACTAGGAAGATCGAATGATGCTCCCTTTCTGAAATACATCAAAAAGGCAAAGATATGAAAAATAAGATAGAATTCATAAGAAATATGAAGAATCACTCTAGAAGTCCCAATATAAAAATTTATGAAATTCAAAAGAAGAACTGAGAAAGCAGAAGTGAAATCATCAATAAAATATTAAAGAAAATATACAGTTTCCAAATGGAAAGAGTCCGCAGAATGACTGACAAAATAGATGAAAATAACGCCAAATTAATGTATCCCATTTTATTTTACTTTATAATTATTTTTTAGAGACAACATCTTGCTTAATGTGTGCCATTTTAAAGGAGCAAAATAAATATTCTACAATGTCATTGGAAGCAGATGAAAGAGAATATATGAGGTGTTCTTTGAACTTCTCAGAGCAACCCTAGAAGCTAGAAGATCAGGGAGCAATAGAACATGTTAAGGTCAGTAAGACAGAATTGGCAAAACTCTGCTAGACAAATGACTATTTTCATCAATAAATTAATCCTGGGTTATAGAGTCAACAGAAAAATTTTTGGGTATCAAAAGAAACTTAAGAGATATGAACAAAATGGAATATGCAGATCATAGGGTCCTTGTGTTTTTTTTTAATCTTTATTCATATCAGCCAACTTAAAACAATAGAAACAGGGAAAAACTGAGCATGACCTGGATATTAAATAATATTAAAGAATTATTTAATTTTGGGGTTGTACTATTTCCACTGTGTTCTCATTTTTTTAAAGTAGCTTTTATAAGAGATACATGCATTCTGAAATATTTACAACTGACATCATATGATTTCAGGCATTTTTTTTTTAAAATCAGTCCTTTCCCTTCTCCCCTGCGAAAAAAAGTATGAAGGGGTGTGAGTAGATTAAACAATATAGCAGGAAGTTGATTGGTGTAAGGCTTCGTGATGAGCATTGGAAGACGAGTGCATTATCTTTTCTTCCTTTGTATGTGTTTGAAAATATCAATAGCAAAAAGATTTTTTAAAGCTCTGAATGTCCAGATAAAATTCAATTTCATATATCTTTTCTCTGAAAGCCACTGCAGGAGATAGTATTCCAAAATTAGGGAATAAAACAAACAAACAAAAAAATAGAATCTGTGGGGAACAGGACATAGGAAAAACACACAGAAGGGAGATAAAGAATATCCCTTAGAATTATTATAGCTTTATATTATCTGTGTCTACACAAACCAACAGAAAAGACACACACAAACTCACAGACACACACACACATATGCACACACAAACACGTACAAACATGTTTTTCCATTAGGCTCACAATCATGTGACCCAAGATTTTACTTGATTCTTATGGCCCTAATTACATTAAGACAGAATTATGGGATGGACTCAGCAACTCTCATCAGTGGTCTATGTAAAGCAAATTCTTAGGAAATCACAAAGCTGAGATGTTTCTTCCAGGCACAGACTGCACTGTTTCTTACATTCAAGAAGCACAGAGTTAGGATCTTCCTTTAAAAGGTTAAGAAAAGGAGCCTCTACGCTGCCCCTGGGTGAGCCTCTTGAAAACAGTAATCAGGTAATTAGCTATGGCTTGCCCAGCCTCCCTACATTAAGGAACAAACAATCAACGTTGGAGTAAGCGCTGTTAGACATATGAATATCAAAGTCTCCTAGTGACTTTTAGTAATTTCCATCTGATAATTATTTCTCTAATTCTCAACTAAATTGTGGTTTGCTCAATTTAAGGCCAGGTTTTTCCCCTCTTTATTTTAGTTTTTACTTAAGAACTTTTAACAATGCTTTGCATTTTTATTGGGCATTGTATTTGTCAAAGCTCTAATTGGCAAGAAGCAGATATCATCTCTGATTTATGCAGAATGTACATTTATTGAAGGAAATCGTGGGGGAGTCACTGAATTGCCCCAAGCCCAGAGTACCAAACTTAGGAAAATGGACAGGGATATAGAAAACTCTTTGTCCAGAACGGGTGTCCAAATCACATCACAGATTCTAAGCAGGAAGTACTTTGCTTCCAGGGCCACTGGACACCAGCATTTGCAGGTGCCCCTCCAGCATAGCTGGTATTGATACCTACCAGGAATCCCCACTAAATTTGCTGCCTTAAGATCCCAGATATCACAATGTGGTCCCTTAAGCGAAGAGAGTCTCTACAGACCTTGCTTCTTTCATATAGCTCCCAATTCAAGGTGAGAGTGACCGATGGGCCATGCATGGGTCGCATACCTATACCCTGGCTGCAAAAAAGTTTGATAAACACTTCCACAAAGATTATTATGAAAAACATGCTACAAATTCAGAGGACTTAGCAAAACTCTGCTAGACAAATGATTAGTTTCTTCAACAGATCAATGCTGGGGGATAGAGACAGCAGAAAACTTATTGGACATCAAAAGATACTTAAGGGATATCAATAAAATACAATATACAGGTCATGGGGGTCTTGTTTTTGTTTTTGATCTTCAAATGTTGTGCAACCAGAAATATACAGATTTGTACTATAAGCATTTTGCAACTGTGTATAAGTACATATTTCATTTTAATTTTAAAATTCAAGATCTTGTGAATCAGTAATGATTTAGATCTGTCAGTGCAAACTTTTGCATTAACGGGAGTAACATTTTGAAAAACTGTATTCTGAGGGCCACTGTGTATATTTTATATTAAGTAGTGTTAAGTGTGCATCAGGAGTAGAGTGTGTATATTTTATATTAAGTAGTGTTAAGTGTGCATCAGGAGTAGAGGGAGTAAAATAATCAAGGTGCTACTTTCTAGTAACATCCTCATCCTTACCCAGCACAGTGAATCTTCTCTTCCTCACTGGTAAGATCACTTGCTTCACATCTGGAAGCTAACTAGTGAACAAGAGGCCAAAGCAAATGTATAATATAGCATGTTTGTACAGTTAAACACTAAATTAACTATCTGAGAGCTATACATTCCATCAAATTCTACAGGCTGGCCTGTACTCAAGAAACCTAAAGTGTGATTCCAGCTTGCCCTCTACAGAACTGTAGTACTTTATGTAAGAAACAGATACCTTTGAATTTCAGCTTGCATAACTCCCCCAAATATTAGACTTTTTAAAAAGCTGTTATAATAACTAATCAGAAATTCAAATTCATAAAGTTTAAAGAAATTTGATGAAAATTTTATATAGCAAAGTTCCAGAGCTACTGCACAGTGTAACCTCCAATTTATCCATTCAATGCTACTGAATCCTGAATATAAAATTCTTATATATATATACATATATAGACAAAATTTTTGTATACATATATATACAGAATATATGTATATATATTTGCAGGTGGAACCATGAAGGAATTTTCAAATTTTATTTCTCTTTCAGGCTGTGGCGAAGTCACAACTTCTGGTCATAGTACCTAACTTATGCATTGATCTGCTTAAGCTTAAATAAACAATGTGTTCACAATATAAGCATTTATTAGTACATCATATAGAAAGAAGTGTTATAATGCAGATTAGAGTGACGTAGATAGCAATGTATAAAGACAAACATTATTTTCTCTGATTCTAAAAAGGAATTGAAAAATATCTGAGATATCAATTGGTATGAAAAATAAAGCTCGATGTTTGAAGTAAGCAATTATTTTAGAAATTCTTAAAATAATAGAAAAAATATTTTGAATTCTATAAAAGTCATGTTAGTGCTTTTAGTATTTCATATGTTATGTTGAACCTACTTATTTTAGGTGACTATATCATTACAAAGTTGTAGTTCAGTTTTCAGTTTCTGATTTCTATTAGTTTGTAAAAGGATTTTACATTTGCATTTAAATAGGAAGAAAATGTGATAAAGATTTCAATTAAAAGGCTGTCTGGGTTAATTCATTTTTAATAGGAACAGTAAATATTTTTCAGTTGATATAGTTCTTACTGCAAGATCAGTACATAGTTCTTTTTTATCTAGTTATGTCAGGTGGTGCTCAATAATGAACACAATAATGTCAGCCTTTGCTCTTTAAGGAACATTTGCCATTCTTCATTGATTTTTGAGAAAACAAAGCAAATTGCTGAATAGTGCTTGAGAAAACTAATGACAGCAGGTTGCTGCGTAAGTACAAAAGTTCATTTACACACATATAAACTATGTATAACATTAATAGGTTTGTTCAAACAAGTGTATACATAGACACATACGGAATAGATTTTCATTGTAAAGTTATTGATGCTAGATTTGATGGAAAGAAAATGAAAAACTGTCTTATCTTGAAAGTTTGGCTAAGACTTCAGTCTCATCTACTTTATATGGATAGGTTGTGTTCTCTATAGAAAGAAAGGCCATCTTTTAACTAGTAATACATATAATACACTTTTTAAATGGAAGGAGATTCTGTAATGACAATACCAGTCTCTGTCTGACGTGTCAAAATTTTTTTACTTCCAAAGTTAGCTCTTCGAAATTTGGTCACTTACTTGTTGTTTGCTTTGTGGGTGTGTCCTTAGTTCTAGACAAATTCAGTTAACTGCATGGGATCTGCTTGAAATATTTTATATTAAAATCATTTAAATGTTTCTTATGTCTTCAGGATGTTTTCTTTTTTTTGTTTTTTGTTTTATAGCTACAATTATGTAGCTTGTAATATGTTTCTTTACTTACTCAGTTTCTAAGGAATTTGCTCACTTTCTTTTTTTCTTACTTTGTTTTCAAATTCCCGAAAACACTTTGCACTGGACATCATTTTCTGAGTGAGGGCAGGGGTGAAAGAATGAAACTTTTAAATAAAGAATCGAAGCATTTAATTAGTATGTCCTGGCTTACTGCTAGCAGAACATCACACTAGTGCGTAAGTGGATTAAGTTTCCTGTAACGCCAGCCAGGAGATCTCTTGACAGATGCGTTTTTTCATTCTCAGGTGTCTAGTTAAGAAAAACACAGGGGTCCAATTCAACCTTTAAAAATGTTATCTTTTGACTAGAAAGATTACTGCTTTGAGATGCAATGGGATTTTCCACAGCAAACTTAGCAGAGGATTATGCTTTTCATTACTCTCTGAATGAAGAGTGAATAGGTGGTGTAAATAGAGGATATTTCTAGAGAAAATTTCTATATAAATTGTGATTTATTTTTCCTGTTTTTACTAAAAATTCATAAAGAAAAGAAGTGGCTGTTGAATTAGAGAAAAGTCCATATTATCTTGTGAAACTGCTTCTTGCAAGTTATACATACACACTCACACACACCCCCTGCAGACAGAGAGAGAGAGAGAGAGAAAGAGAGAGAGAGAGGATTTCAAGGGTTAAAATAATTCTATTTTATTGTACCTTATTTTCAGCTGTTTTATTCATTTTTGATATCATTAGAATCTATTCTCCCCACAGTATGTCTGTATCTTTAGGCTGTCTCTAAATTGACCGCTTCATGGTTGATTTTTTTTTCAGCCATATTTAACCACTGATCTCAGCTGAATTGATTAGAGTGACTGTGGGATAATTCAAATCAGATAAGACGGTTGAGCTCACCAGACAAACCATGCCATGGTCCAGTAATTTTGTTCATATAACTACAAGCTAATCCACTGCAGTGAGTTAGGACTGTTGGGACCACAAACTTTAGGAGCTATCTATAATATGCTTTAAAGCTTTAGTTTATTATATAACTTATTTTCTTATATTTTTCAATCTTTAATTTAGCAATGTGAATCTTTAAGGAGATTTCCATGCACAATTCTGGGGAAAGGAGTACTCAAATGAAGAATCCCAGGGACTTTCCACAGTTAATTCCATTTAATGTCTTTCCAGTGTCTGCAAAGCCAAAAAAGCGGGAGTTATTGGAAAGTGCCAAATGTAATAATAATCATGAAGTTTTTTCAGCATTTCATCAGAATCTGAGAATTAAAAACTTGTATATATACATACACACATAGAAGCACACCACACATGGGAAATTATAAGAAAGGAAGTATGCTCTAAGCCTCTAATACTACTTAAAATGTAGTAAAAATAAATACATAAATAAATACATTTACAAATAAATACATTTATAAATAAATGAATAAATCTATACTAGGTACAGCTTTGCCTTATTTGACTATTAGTATTTTTCATCTCTCTGCATACAAGGCCTGCATACATAACATGTTTAGCATCTATTATTTTAAAGTGTGTATCTATACACTTCAATAAATTCAGCTGATGCAGTTTGGATGTTGTTCCCGCCCACATCTCATGTTGAAACATCATCCCCAGTGCTGGAGATGGGGCCTAGTGGAAAGTGGTTGGATCATGAGGGTAAGTTTCTCATGAATGGTTTAAGTGCAATTCTTTTGGAACTGTCCTCGCAATGGGGAGTGAATTCTCATGAGATCTGTTAGTTTAAAAGTGTGTGATAGTTTCCTTTCTTCTGTTTCTGCCCATGTACGACGCCTAGTCCCCCTTTGCCTTCCCCCATGACTGGAAACTTTCTGAGGCCTCCCCAGAAGGAGAAGTTGCTATGCTTCCCCTACAGCTTGCAGAACTGTGAGTCAAGTAAACTTCTTTTCTTTATAAATTACCCAGTCTCAGGTATGTCTTTATTGCTGTGAGAATCAACTAATATATAAGTAAACAGTCAAGCAAGGCTGTTTTTTGTGTGTGAATATTAACATTGTTATTTAAATGAATGTGTTTAACTGATTATTTTGATAAGAGTTAAACATTGTGAAATTATTCATATAGGTTTATGGTGTTATCTGGAACATTTTCTACTTACACTTTTTGAATTTAAAATCATTTTTAAATTGCATATTTTTCTTAAAATTATGACATACCAAATTGCTATCAACCCACCTGGTTATTTCCTAGCAATCATTAACAATTACATATTGCCAGGCCATATTTAAACTATTTAAAACCAAAAACTTTCTATTCCTCTATCGTAATGTCTAAACCAGCAGTTGCACAAGAAAACCAGCTGTTTTGGAATTCCATTGAGTTTATCACACATTAGCTTTTTTGTCTTCTTTCACAGTTAGCATTTTCGAAGCATCATATATATCTCATGGCATTTGGAAAAAGAGCTACTGTTGCTATATGGATCAGTGGTAAATAATGTGGCAAGGGACAAACCTCTTTCAGTTTAGTTTAGTTAGAATATTCCGTGTATGCTCATTACATTTGGAAGGAAATATGTATGCAATCTCAATCTTACTACTTTTGTTTTCTCATCTTACCCTTTACTTATACTAAAATTTAAAATGTTCTATGAAGTATGGCAAATAAATGTCTGACAAATTTGTAATGTATTTAAAAATAGTATTTTAAGGAGATTCTTTTGGGACTTGTGTTTCTCTTCACTAAGAACTACTTTATCATTACTTTCTAAATTAAGAGCATCCTAATTTATAGTTGTCTAAATATACATTTGAAATGACTCTTTTTGAAGAAGCAATCCTTCCACTAATGGTTATAAATCCATCCTTTTATTGTTTCTCTAAATATTTGTGCACCAGTATTTTTTTCAGGCAGAGAATGTTTATATTAAGCACTGATTAATGGAAAATATGAGTATGAATAAGAAAATCCTTTTAACGGAATTTAAAAAAAATTTGAATGCTTACATGCTGTATAATACTTTTGTTATTTCATAGAAGTTATGTAATGAATAGTGGTATGTTGACAATCCAAATTAGAATCTGTGGCCTAGGGAGGAAACAATGAAAAGTGTTGATGAAGTCTACTTCAAAATTTTAAAATAAATGTTTATAGTATATAGACACATACATACACACATACACACACATACATGCACATTGAAATTAAGTTGATGTTGAGCCAAATAAGAAGACTTATAAAGCTTAATTCTTGAATGCTGCTCTATTTTGTGACATTACTGGTAACAAGTCACATCTTGTTGGAGATTTTAGATTAAAAATGATCTATTTTGTAATTCAGAGTATTACTGCAAGTCCATAAATTTGGTTTTGTCTCCTTTTTATACATAATGAACTGAGTTGCAGAAAGTTAATTGACATTTGTACCCATTTATGCCATTAGTTAGTGTGGTGGATTCAAACTCAAGTTTTTCAGCTCCCAAATTGTTATTTTAACTTTAATTAATTAGAGATTATCTTACAAAAGCCATTAAAGTCTATAGCACTTTATTTGTGTAACAACGGTCCCCAACCTTTTTGGCACCAGGGACCGGTTTCTTAAAAAACAATTTTTCCATGGACCTGGGGGTGGGGCAGGGTGGTGATCTTGGGATGAAACTGTTCTACCTCAGATCATCAGGCATTATTAGTTGAATTCTCATGTGGAGCACTCAACCTAGATCCCTCACATGTGCAGTTCACAATAGGGTCTGTGTTCCTTTTAGAATCTAAGGCCACCGCTGATCTGACAGTAGGCGAAGCTTAGGCAGTAATGTTCACTTGCCTGTCACTCATCTCCTGCTATGAGGCACCATTCCTCATAGGTACCAATCCATGGCCCAGGGATTGGGGACCCCTGTTGTATAAAACTGTATTTATGAATGCACATATATAGGTATCTAAATATAGTATTAACCTCAATTATAGGAGACTATTTTATGTAAATGGATAAACAGGTACAAAACTAATAGCCTAAAATGCAATAGGGGATATAAAAAAAAACATGAAAATTAAAGCTAAAATAGTTCAGAGCAGTATGTGTATCATGATTTTGTTGAAGTATAATGAAAAGTTCCAAAATTATGCTAATAGCCAGTATGATCCTGATCTTTAGGATTTCAGTGGGATTATTTTCTACCTTTGATTGAAATTCACCAAAGGGCATTTGTATTTGTTTTAATTCTAGTCAAACTACCTCATAAAGGTTTTGCTAAAAATTTCTAAGAAACTTACTAAGGTACTTTGAAACTGCCAACATCTCTACAAATCCAATTATTGGGCATTATTGTAGTCTTACTGTTCTGAAAGTAGAGTTAATTGTAGGCATGTGTCTTGGGCTGATGTACATATATCAAACAAAACTGTTGATCAACCCTTTTTTAATAGAAATTTCAATATTGTAAGTGTGGAAAAGTTATCTTTAATGCTTATAAACACAGAACAACAAGGATGCGGGCAGTTGAAATTGATCAAATTTATCATGCTTCATTCCTGTCACATTCTTCAAAGCACAAAATAGCACTTTTTGTTTTATTTAAAAGCATCTGTATTTATTTCCATTAAATTTAAACATTAAATTTATAAAATTCAGCTACATATTCAGAAGGAACAGATTTAAGGCAGTTACTGACTTCAGTTTAGCAAGTATTTTGGCATGCATAGCAGTTAGGACAGTTAAGGATGAAACTTATTTTAAAGCTTTTCAATTTATATCTGAAACTGACAGCTAGTATAGAAACATTGGAAAAATAAATTGAAGACTACTTTATTGACTCATTACATAATAAAAAAGAATAAGCATCTAGGGAGGATAATAGGAGTCAAAGTGAATTTAATTATATGTTGTACGTGTGAAAATGACTATATTTACTCATTTAAGATCCTATACGTCATCTTGATTGCAACCAATAGCACTTGCTTATAGAAAGAGTGGCCTTTTGGGTTTTTTATTATAAGAATTATAAATCCAGATTTTTGTACCAAATGACGTCAGTGGCTCTTACATTATATAATGTAAGAAAATAATGCTCCCCTAAAAACCTAGATTTCTGCCGGGTGCAGTGGCTCTTACCTGTAATCCCAGCACTTTGGGAGGCCGAGGCGGGTGGATCACGATGTCAGGAATTTGAGAGCAGCCTGGCCACAAGGTCTGGAGTTTGAGACCAGCCTGGCCAATATGGTGAAACCCTGTCTCTACTAAAAATACAAACATTAGCCAGGTGTTGTGGTGCTCGCCTGTAGTCCCAGCTACTTGGGAGGCTGAGGCAGAATTGCTTGAACCTGTGAGGCAGAGGTTGCAGTTAGCCGAGATCATGCCACTGCACTCCAGCCTGGGCAACAAAACTAGATTTCTAAATGAAACAATAAAATACCAAAATATTGATCATTTTTGTTAAAGAATAAATGCTTTTTAACTTTGTCCTCATATACAGGTTATATATATACACAAATTCATAAATATAGAAGTAAATTTTGATAGATAGCTGTCTTGAGACTTTCTTGTTTTTCTGCTCTGAAGGACTCCATATTTTGAACATAATACTGTAAGTAAAAAAAGAAAAAGAATCTGAATCTCTGATACATGTATATTTATTTAATATCAATTTAGGTATTAGTGCATGATATTATATTAATCAGTAATATAAAAAGAGAAGGTAAATCAATATGAGTCAAGGAAATATTTAGAAATATAATCTTAATATTTTCCTGCTTCCTATGGATCACCCAGCACACCTATTGGGAAGTGCACATCCACCTACTTTGAGGGTCACTGGTCTATAATGAAAGCATGTAAGTCTCCTAGTATCAATGTGTAACTCAGAGAGAATCTGCATCAGAATCAAAGTAGTCTACTCTGGGTAATATTCTAAAATGATATCTGGGCTCTTAAAGGGGGGTTGGCTATCTATTGTTTGAAAGAAAGTTTTGTTGACTTGACTGTTAAGGGGAATACAGAAGATTTTCTAACGTAAATGTAGCCCTCATCCTCTATTCTAGTCCTCTCATTCCACAGTCAATATTCCTCTCTTTGGGCAGTTTCCACTTGTAGAACATTCACATGTTTATTGTTAGCATAAAAATCAACAACAATAATAAAACTTGGGCCAATGCACTGTATAGTAAGACTAACTACATGAGCACAATGATTCCCTCAATATTATATAACAGCAGTCGTTTGAAACATATAACGTTTCAATTGTATATTTTTATCTTCTTGCCTAGCAAATATTTTCCCCATTTGGTTAGATTCATTTTGTAGTCTTAGCCAAGGTGTATGTCCCTAATTGTAAGAGCAAATGAGATAAATTCCTAATTAAAACAAACATAAGATCATAAAGTCATCTTAGATTTCTATTGCATAGCTCAGAGCATATTTTATGAGTGTGTCATAAGCAGTGGTTCTTAAATTTTAATAGGTACATGATTCTGATTCAGTATTCTGCTTTCTAACAAGATCCCAGGTGACATACATGTTGTTGGTTCATGGATCACAATTTGAGTTAGCGAGATCCTCCTAAACAATGTTCACCAGCAGGTGTTGCATCTGTTTAGTAGAGGATTGTGTAGACAGGTGTATATGCTGTGGCACGTATTATTCAGTACTGGTATAAATGGTAAAATATGCGTAAGGATTAATGTCTTATAAAATTGAGAAATTGATGAAGTGGGAATCCCAGTCTCAATGAAATCTTATTAAAAATTGATCAGCTTAATAACTAGGCTGGGAATCAAGAGAAATGAGGTGATTTTAATGAGCATCCATTACAGTATAATATGTCTGTGACTTTTATTTTTATTTCTCATTGTTTTGGCTAATTTTAGTCACTGGAATAAAAATAATAGGCTGAGCCTTCTTTTTCCAAACTGAGTAAGTTATCGAGGAAAAAACATTTTTGGCAACTTCTTGTGGGATGTTATTTTCTCTATTATTAGCTTATGAGCTCACCAAAATACTATAAATAGATTTAATTTGACCATTTTACTTTACTAATTATGCATATTGCCTATTTTATTTTTATTTTGAATAATATGAGAATCACTGTTATTGTTAGGGATACATATCTATGGCTAATTAAATCAATATTCAGAAACTGGGAAGCATTTATTAACTACAACAGTGGTTGGAAAATTATAATCCATGGGTCCAATTCAGTCTGCAGCCTGCTTTTATAAGGTTTTACTGGACCAGAGCAGAGCCACACTCATTTGTTTATATATTAATTCACCTATGGCTGCTTTCCCAATATAATGGCAGAGTTGAATAGTTGCAACAGAAACCATCTGGCTTGCAAAGCCTTAGATATTCACTCTCTGGCCTTCACAGAAAAAGTTGTGTTTGCTCTAAACTCATATAAAATGTTTTTAAATAATAAAAATTTACTCTTTCCACATGCTGTTCTAAAGCAATTTTTATGAATGAGAAAACTTAATGCTAGAAATAATAATATAATTGCAAGTTTTTTTTTCTTTTTTTTTTTTTAGTTTGAGGTACTATATTGTATAAGGTACTACTCTAAGTGTCTGTGCCAATTTGTGATTCTTGAAGAGTCTGGATTACACCTTGGTCTTATATATTTTTTTCTAACCAGATCATGTTTTTTTTCTTTTCCTCCGATGAGTTTACTAAGAAGAAAACTAAGAAGAAAACTAAGAGTTCCAACCCCCATTACATTACACAAGAGATGCAGCACTTTAAATACAAAGGGACTTGATTCAACAGGACCACTATAGTTGTCAGCCAAAATAGAATGATGTATTTGGCAGTGATTTCAGCTACATGTTAGTGTTTCACCTGACACAGCAAGCCCATAGATTGTAGCCTTCAACATAATTTATAGGGTTGACATTTTGCTATTGAGATAATGTAAGAAGATAAAGCCCATAACTCCAACAGTTGTTTTGTTTCGGTTCGTTGTATAATTTATGCAAAGTTAGAAGGCCCATAGTAGTAGGCAAACCCATAATGTCTGGAAATTTAACTCTAGACTAATAGAGGCTCCTTCAGCAGCCATACACCAACCCTATCACTTAGCACATAGTATTGGAGACAGTGTGGAATTAGTATATAATGGCTATTATATCTATATGATTCCTCTTGTCTTCAATATTCTTATGTGTAAAAAGATAAGTCCATTATATCTATATTATTTCATCTTGTCTTCAATATTCTTATGTATAAAAAGACAAGTTTGTCAGGCTCAGTGGCTCACTCCTGTAATCCCAGCAATTTGGGAGGCCGAGGCGGGTGGATCGCCTGAGGTCAGGAATTCAAGACCAGCCTGGCCAACATAGTGAAACCCCGTCTCCACTAAAAATACAAAAAATTAGCTGGGCATGGTGGCGGGCACCTGTAATCCCAGTTACTCAGGAGGCTGAGGCAGGAGAATCAGTTGAACCCAGGAGGCGAAGGTTGCAGTGAGCCGAGATTGCACCATTGCACTCCAGCCTGGGCAACAAGAGCGAAACTCCATATCATAAAAAAAAAAAAAGTCCATTATATCTATATTATTTCTTCTTTTCTTCAATATTCTTATGTATAAAAGGATAAGTCCAAACTAGAGAAGTTATAGGCAACTCTGTAATACAATTTTTCAGAGAAGGTTTTAAAATAACAATGATATCCTGACTATTTTCAACTAATAAAAATACAGAAAACTTGGGTAGTTTTAATGTGAGCTGAGATTTAAAGTCATTAGACCAAATTATAGGTAGCATGCAAATTTTCACAGGTCATGCAAATGTGATAACATTGCTCCTCTGATTTTTATCTGGATTTTGGGGCAAACAGTGAGTAGCAGGAATTAAGCAGCAAAAAACTTAGGTGTTTCCTGCTGCCTTTTGCCTTTAGTAGTAACATACATAGATAAGACTTGAACACACACATTTATTATTGCAACAGATAGAACAATAGCACAGATGTCTTATGGGAATTTCCACAGATGCATCTGCTCAGCAGAATGTGTGTGAACTGGTATATTTTGTTTAACTCAATATTTAAACCAGTAGCTTTTATAGAAAAATTTAGATTTCCAACTTATCTTGAAAAATCTGCTAACACCAGATCTGTATTTCCACAGGATAAGAGTTGTCAAGATCTGAGTAACAGCGGCTCATTTTGGAAGGGACATAATGTGTCTGAATTAACATGGTTCCCATCATTGTCTTTTATCTTCCCAACATCACAATGGAGTATCAGTTGCCATTTATTGTTTTCCTTGTTCTATTGCTCTTTTACGGTAGAGTAACATTATCTGTACTACGTCTCTGTCACAAGATAAAAGACAGAAGATAGACCTATAAGACTGTAGTTTTCAAGAAGAATGGGAATCAACATATTTCTCTTGTGGTGGTCCACCTCACTCCTTTATTTTACTTGCAAGTGAACAATAGATATTTGTACTTGTGACCCAATCTAGAGCAAATATATTATTGTTCTTTATTACTTTATGAGAAATTTCCCCGTATTTCTTTGCTCTGAGATTAGAGGTTTTCCTTGGACAAATTCAGAGTAGTTATGCTTTCCAAATATTTAGGATGGCAGACACCAAGCTTTTTAAAGACTGTGTGTATGCACACACGTATTTGTATGTTAAGCATTTGAAACAAACCCTAGAAATTGCCACTAGTCTTTTCTCTGTCATTTAATTCAGTCTTTACTATCATTTTACCCTTTTAATGATGTAGAAACTGAGGCTTCAAAATAAAGTAATTGACTCAAGGTACCTAGAGTAATTGACTTAAGGTAACTTGGAATAGTACTATGACTTTTGTCACTGTACATCTTCTTAAACTCTAGACTGTGTTGTCTCCATAACTTGAGAGGCTAAGTTATTTCACAAAGTTCAATCATAAAATATCTTCTTACAGATACTCTCAAACTTGATGTACTATGATTTGATATTATTGTGCTAAAATTGTAAGTCCTTTTATTACTCTAAATATAAACACCTATATTTTTATTATTTTCTGAGTTTGTATTTTTCTGGTCACCTTGAGGAAGCTGGGATCAGTTCTGATGATATGAAAGTCATAGTGTGCATATGAACCTCAATGATACTTTTTCCTCCTTTGAGACACAATATATAGCATTACATTCTCTTCGTAATTACTGAGTTTTCCCTCACACAATTTTAAAAGTAAGATCTTTGAGGACTTATTTTTATTATTTTTGTGTCTGCTGAATCGGTCATAGTATATTTAACAGTATTGAATTTAATCAACTATTGGATTGTTTAAGAATAAAAGGTAAGGTAGAATGCATGTGTGAGCTCTCCAAAATCTACTCAGCACAGAGGAAAATAAAAAGCCTTGCATATGAGCTGGTGGTGGGAGGACCCTTAATTATAAACTGGCAAGAAGCAATACTTTGTTAGCTCTGTCTTGTTTGTAATATATCTTTCCTAATTAGAAATTGTATTGCCTGAGCTACTTCAGGTAATATGGCATGAGTGGCTTTGATAAGACTGTAAATTTTCCAGGGATGAGATTCTGGAGAGGAAATGTGAGGAAAGGCTTGGCTGCCGACAACATTTCCAACGGAACTCACCATGTTTCCTTTACAGTCAGGCAGTGAGTGGCTGTGAATTTTAAAATTCAGTTACATACCATTCTATAATAGGTTTCAGACTAGGCTTCTCAGCCTGCTGCATTATAAAGTCATTTTGACAGCGTATTAGTTGGCTTCAGTCTTCAAACAGCAAGAAAACAAATGAAAGTTTCTAATTCAAGTTTTAAACTCCAGACATAAATAGCAAAGTATCTGGGACAGTTATCTCCATGAGAGGGATTTACCTTGCCCTGTAGTTATAGAAATAGCATCTAAACGCTGCTCAAAAGATCCTTAGCAAGAGTAAAGTGAAACAATTATTTGATAGGGGTCGGGATGGGACAAGACACTATTTGAATTATCCTCTCATCTCTAGGTCATACCCAGACTTGAAATTTTGGCTGCAGAATGTGTACGCAGCATGGCTTTGTGCTATGATCTCTAGCAAGCTTTTGAACACTTGTAATCTGTCCACGAGAATCTTTTCCTGAGGCTCAGCATTAAGAACATCTCATAAAAAGAAATAGTTGCAAGGTGGTGTCACTCTTATTGGACTCACTCCTAAGCACTTGGTATTGTAACAGGTAGGAGTCTACCTTCGAGAGAGCATGGATTCAGGGTTTGCTTTTGTAATCTGAGTTTAGATCCTTCAGGCACTCAGCATGTTGGCAATCCCCTGTAAAACGGTATCAGCGGGGGACAAAGTAAAGTAAAGCGGATTGTATCTGACAGAGCTCCTTAAATAAGTTGTTCAATTGACGGGAGAGGGTAGGAAGCCTTCCCAGGGTGATTAATTCGAATGACCTAAACTAGTTGATGTGTACTTTTAAATGATTTTTTCTCTTATTATTTTCCTGAAGAATACTCAAAAATGCATTTTGTAGTTTGTATTTTGTAAAAGTTTAAGCATTTGAAGCCTTACATTATGGAATAATTTTACCTAAAGGCAGCAGTTCTTAAAATTAAGGGCACAGGAGATTATCCAGTGTCCCACTATGATGATTTTGTAGTCTGAGTTGGAACCTAGGAATTTGAGTTTTTAACAGGCACTTCAGGTATTTGTGATACAAATAATTCAGTTAGATGATATTGACAGGAAACTTCAAGAAATGATAGAAACATCACATCCACTTGAGTCTTTCTTCCTTCTTACCTACACAGATTCACCTTTTGTCAGGCAGTTGAAACAGATTACTTTGGCCAGAGAAGCAGGAAAATGTCAGCTAAGTTCCTTCGTGAAAAATGAAAAAAAAAAAAAATCTAGAGCTCCCCACTTAGAAGTTGTCCTAGAAAGTAGCTTTCAAAGCGCTAAAGAGAAAATTACCAAAGTATTTCCCTGTGCTTCTGTCACTGATTTGATCTAAACTTTCTGTTTTCAAGCTAGTGTAAAGATATTTCCTATTTTAAGAAAAATATCTATTAAAAACACTTCTCAATCACACCTTAGGACTCATGTAAATTTAATTTAGAAAACTGATTAAAGATCCATAAATCATGCTTGGATTTAGACCTAGTGGGAAATCATAGACATATTTAATTTATCCTTCCTAAATTTTGCACTTCTGGTTCTAAGATTCTTCAAAATCTGTAGTATTCCAAGGAAATTAATGTATAACAAAGTATAATACACTAAAGTTTACTTTAATAAGGAAATACCTTCCAAATTAGATTGAATATGATTTTCAAGTTCTTTATTTAAAATTTTAGAGTTCAATCACAATCTTTTTAGCACTGACTCTATTCATAATTATCCCTGTGTTGCACCTTACAACTTTTTTAAATCATGGGTTAACACTGTCTGCTGATGCTAAACATGAGTCCTTAAGCTCAAAGCTAACAACATATCTTTGAAGAAATTCCACCTTTCTGTATATCCACTCATTATAACTCTAGTTTCAATGTTAAATGACATTTAGAGAGTAATCTGAGATCATATAATTTTAAAATAAGACAATTTCAATGATTTCCGGAAAAAATATTTCATATTTTCAAAGTATTGATCTTTTTTCTAAAGCTATACTAAAATTAGAAAACGTAAGACAAGGAGAGGTTGAAATAATATTCAAGTTAGTGGTTGTGGAGGCTTTTTTTAAAAAAAAAATTAATTGCATATCCTTACAGCATACAAAATGATTTTTTGATATATGTTTACAATTTGGAATGATTAAATCATATTAATTAACAAACCATCATGTTGCATTCTTATTTTTATAGTGAAAACATTTAAAATTTACTATTTAGCCATTTTATAATATACAATACAGTGCTCATTGCAGTATTATTCACAATAGCTAAGATTTGGAAGCAATCTAGGTATCCATCAATGAATAAAGAAAATGTGGTATGTACACACACACACACACACACACACAATGGAATACTATTTAGTCTTAAAAAAGAATGAAATTCTATTATTTGTGACAAAATAGATGAGCCTGGACGATATTATGCTAAGAGAAATAAGACAGGTACAGTCTCACTTACATGTATAATTTGACAAAGTTAAACTTACTAAAATAAAGAGTAGAATGATGGTTAAGAGAAGGGATGTTTAGGAAGGGAATAAGGGGAGATGGTGATCAAAAGGTACAAAGTTTCAGTTACAATAAGCTTTTGTAATCTAGTGCACAGAATGGTGATTATAACAACTCATGCATTGTGATGACTCTTGATGTGTCAACTTGACTAACATACAGTCTCCAGTTACTTGATCACATGTTATTTGAGTATTGCTGAAAAAAGATTTTACAGGTGTAATTAAAATATCTAATTACTTAACTTTTAGTGAGGAAAATTGCCCTAGGTAATATGGGTGTGCCTGATTTAATAAGTTGAAATTCCTTGGAAGCAGGGCTGTGGCTTTTCTAAGAAAAGAAGAAAGTTCACCTGTGGATGATACCTTCAGTTCATGCTGGTAGAGTTCTGTACTATTCATAATATTCCTTCCTGACTACTGGCCTTATTGATTTGGGATTTGCTTAACCAGCTTCCACAATCACAAAACGCACAAACCATTGACAAATGGTTTTTATATGAGATACAAAATATTGTGATAATCATAACAATAATTGCAAATGGTAGTGTTGCTGTAATATAAGCTCAGCAAAAGAGGCTTAAGTTGCTGAATGCAAGGTTGCTGAACAATAAAATTGCTTTTGTTTATTTACTAGCAGAAAAATATGGCATTAGTTTGCAAAACTAAGACCTTTAGCTAGATTTAGATAAATTTTTTATGACAGGTCAAAATGAGGCCAAATGTTTATGGGTCCATCAGGTAAGGAAACGATTTTTTAAAAAATACATAGACAAAAGCAACAACAGCCAACAAAAACAAACAATAAAAAACCCGGAGGATGGGTGCATGTGAAAAGGATACAGGTTATCATTTATCCTGAGATAAAGAGCCATCTGGGAAGATCTCCAAATGGCCAAAGCTGGCGTAATATGGGCAACAAAATAATGAGAGCATTAGATTATAATCCCTAAAATGATACATAAAATTGTACAATCTGACTAGTACTCTTCAAAAGCATCAAAGTCATGAAAAACAAAGATTGTGGAGCTGTCACAAATTGAGAGAGGCTGAGGAGACATGATAATTAAATGCAATGTGGTATCCTGAGTACTATTCAGGAACCTAAAAACATATATTAGTAGAAAAACTTGAGAAATCCAAATAAAGTCTGTAGTTAATAATACTGTGCCAATATTAATGCTAGATGTTCATAGTAGGGAAAGCTGACTGACAAGTGTATGGTCATTTTTTACACCATGTTTGTAATTATGATGGTTAATTTTATGTGTCAACTCAACTGGGCCATGGAATATTCATGATTGAACATTTTTTTGTGTGTGTGTGTACCTGTGAGGGTGTTTCCAGAATATATTAACATTTAAATTGGTGAAGTGAGTAGAGCTGATGGCCCTTCCTCTTGTGGGTGTAGTCATCCTCAAATTCCTTGAAGGCTTGAATAAAACAAAAAGATGAGGGAAGATTGATTTTGCTTTCTGCTTGACTGTTGGGATGACACATCCATGTTCTCCTGCCCTTGGTACTGCTGATTCTTAGGCCATCAGAGTCAGATGGAAATCTACATCTTTGGCTCACTAGCTCTCGAGCCTTTGAACTATGCCACTAGTAGCCTTCCTGGTCTGCAGCTTGTAGACAGCAGACCATGGGCCTTCTCAGGCTCCGTAAATCATGTGTCAATACTTTTAAACAATTTGTGTGTGTGTGTGTGTGTGTGTGTGTGATGTGTGAGTGTGTGTTTATCCTATTGGCTCCTTCTCTCTGGTGAACCCTGACTAGTACAGTAACTATTTTGTGAATCTAGAAATAGTTACAAATAAAAGATTAAAAATTCAAAGAAAATTGATCAATCGTCTAGACAAGGTGAGACGAGCAGAACTATGAGATTTATTCTTACCAATTGGCTGATTGAAAGAGCAAATCTACAGACATTAATAGTTATGCAATTTATATCATTCTTTCTAATTATTGCTCTTGCCAATTGTATCAATGACAGTGTTTGTATTAATTTCCAAAGTCTCATATTCTGAAATTTTAGTGAAACTATGGATATGGTAGAATCTTTTCAAACTGCCTGGTGGGATATTATTTTTATGTTGCTCATATGTTAACATAAATTATCAAATTAAAGATGAAATCCCCTCAATTAATGTAGAACACATATTCTCAACTGTGTTTCAGCAATATAAATCTTCAAGTGTATTCCAGAAAAAAACTAGTTTATTTTAATTTATTAAGTATTAAATGACAAAAGAAGACTTTTCTGGTCTAATAAAATTAGAGCACACTAGGTTCAACAAAGTTTAATGATTTAGTTAATGATTTCTCTGAACACTTATAACAGTAATGTGCTTTGTGAATCTCTAAAAAAGTAAAACGTAAACATTATTACAGAAACTTTCACTTTGTAACTCTCACAACTTATTAGGCTAATGTAGGGGAAAATGTTTGGAAATGCTATGGTGAATCATATAATTTAATCATGAGCATATTTAGAATTTCATGTGCACTGAAAAAATACAATTGCCAAAATACAAGTATCATGGAAAAAGCCTATCATCAAGGGAAAGTGCAGCCGCTCAGCTCCCTAACTTTTGAATTTATTATCATTCTGACCATATTTTTTTCCAACAAGTTTCTCTCTACAACTTTACCTTCTAAGCAATCATTCTTATTTGTGTATGCAGTGGGAGCAACCAAACCCCTGCAAGGTAGAGATGTTTGTATTATTTATAGGTCATTCTTAAGCTAAGTTCTCCTTTCTCCTCAGTTTTAGAAATTGTATTCTGATTTCTCTATTAACCAGAAAGTGTATGGTTTATTCCTGCTACCACCACTAGCTCTCATTTTTTGTTTTAAAACTGTCAGAATCCTATTTACTCTAATAATTGATACAATGATGGGGGGAAGGGTAAGCACTTAATTCAGCTAGTTCTTGAAACATTCTAAATATCCTTACTCCAGAGATGATACTGGGGAGGGCTTTCTTCGATAGGGGCTAAGCGTTGCAGTTCTGGTGCTGAAAGAAGCTTCATCCAATTCCATATAGAGGAAGCTCACTCCATCCTGTCCTCTCATTAAATATATTGCACAAAGCAGCTATCTGAGGACCCTGAGAGGTAAATTTGGTTGTAGGTAGATTGAGATCTATGCCAGAATATGAAATACTGTCAAATTGGTATTAAATGTTTTCTTCTGGTATCTCTCAACCTAGACTCAAAGGCAGCCCCAAATCTCAGAGTGTACACTAAATGAGAACAGAAAAAAGTCTCAATAGAATCCCTCTCTTTCTATTCTAAGGAGCAGAAATGGAGGCTCTAAGAGTCAAACCATGTGGAGAAAATTTTGTAGAGATTTTTCACCCTTTTTTCCTTCCATTCTCTCCTGAACTCGCCCCATGAAATCTTACTGTAGTTGAGAGTTGAAGTCAGCATCTGCTGATAGGCACCGAGATTCCAAAGAAAAATCCCTCTCTGTATCCAGCAGAGGTACGGGGAAGGAAAAAAACAAAACAAAGCAAAACAAAACAAAAACACCAGAATGCTATAGAGTGGAGAATCTAAAGGCCCAGCCTTTTGGTCCGGAAATTGGGAAGAGAAGCCTTTAGGGAACCAGAAAATGTCAGGAAGCTTGCAGATTGGTGAGAGCTCAAGAGAGCAATTTCATAAAGTCGTGTACAAACTCCTGGGTTCACCTCAGAGCCCAACATGCATAGATCCGACCCTAAACAGTAGATGATAGGTCTTGAGAAGCGAGCTACATGGTAGATGTTGGCACATCTTAGTTGGCACACAGAGGAATGAGCTGTACCCTTAGTTGGCACACTAAGTAGATCTGAATAGTACTTTTTTTTTAATAGTATAGCATTACAAAAACGGAACTGACATCAAAACCACACACTATGAAGGGACATGAGAGCTTGTTGTCTGAATCCAGTCTGACAGATTTTGTCCTTCAAAAAAAAATTGACAAAAGAACATTCATTTTTAGATTTAAATAAAGACCCAGAATCTCATAACATAATATCCAAAATGTCTGACATACAATCCAAAATTTGTGGCACACAAAAACAAGGATAATTCCAACACATAAGGAAAAAAAGATAGTTGAAGATGGCAACAATGTTGGAACTGTCATAAAGGTTGTGAATGCTGCTATCATAGCCATACTCTGAGAAGTAAGGGTAAATCCTCTTGAAACAAACGGAAAGAGAAAAAACTCAAAAAAGAATTAGATAATATAAAGGTTTTAAAAATAGTAACATTAGAACCAAAAATACATTTAGAATAATGAAAAATTCATTGGAGTTAAACAGCAGAATGGTGGTCAAAATAAAGAGTCAATGAAGCTGAAAATAAACAAAAGTATTGATATAAACTGAACAGATAGGGAAAAATTAAAAAAAAAAATAACAGAACCCTAGGAACTGTGGGACAATATAAGCAAGGTCCAACACTTCTGTAATTAGGATCCCAGGAGTGAGGGAAGATGCATGATGCTAAAGAAATACATGTATGTGAAGGAACAGTAAGTAAAAACGTATCCGTTTTTATAAAAGACAGAAGCTTATTCAAGAAGATCAGAGAATTAAACAGAATAAATTCAAAAAATTTCTGCCCAAGTGACAGATAATAATCAGACTACTAAAAAACAAATACAAGAAAAAAAATCCTAAAATAAATTACAAAGAAAGGATGCATTAAATCTATAGAGAAACAATGGTTCAAATAATTGTGGATTTTTCATCAGAAACCATGGAGGCATGAAGGAAGTGAATTGACATTTTTAAAATGCTGGAAAAAATCTTTCCAGAATGTATGTAGAGGGAAACAAAGAATAAAAAAAAGACATATAGTTAAAAAAAAAACTGTAAGAAATGAAAATGGAATAGTAAAAAATATTAAATATACTTAGAAATAGGAGACTAAAAAGACTCATATCTTCCAGAAGATAGCAAGAAAAAGAAAAGAGAAAGACAAAATATAAGGAACAGACAGAAAACAAATCATAAAGTGAAAGACCTAAATACGATTATAGTCATATGTTGCTTAATGATGGGGATACGTTCTGAGAAATTCATTGTTAGGCAATTTTGTTGCTGTGCAAACATCATAGAGTTTACTTACACAAACCTAATTGGAGTAGCCTACTACTCACTTACACTATATGGGATAGCCTATTACTTCTAGGCAACAAACCAGCACTGCCTGTTAGGGTACTGAATACTGTAGGCAATTGTAACACAATGGTAAGTATTTGTGCACCCAAACATATCTAAACATTAAAAAGGCACAGTAAATATACAGAATAAAAGATAACAAAATGGTACACCTGTATAGGGTACTTGTAAGGAATGGACTTGTAGAACTAGAAGTTACTCTGGGAACGTCAGTGAGTGAGTGGTGAGTGAATGTGAAAGGCTAAGACATTACTCTGCACTACTGTAGACTTTATAACACTCTACACTTGGGCTACACTAAATTTATTTTAAAAAATTCTTGCTTCAATAATAAGTTAACCTTAGCCTATAGTAATTTCTTACTTTAAAAACTTTATTTTTTTCAACTTTCAACTCTCACTTGTAATAACACTTATACTTACACTTAAAACACAAACACATTGTCCAGCTGTACAAAAAAAAATTTCTTTCTTGATATTCTTATTCTATGTTTCTTCCATTTTAATTTAATTTTTTTTTTTGCTTTTTACATTTTAAACTATTTCTTGTTAAAATGAAATCACCAAGACACACATTAGCTTAGGCCAACAAAGAGTCAGGATCATCAGTATCCCTGTCTTCCACCTCTACATCTTGTCACACTGGAAGGTGTTCACAGGTAATAACACACTTGGAGCTATCACCTCCTATGATAACAATACCTTCTTTTGGAGTACTTCTTGAAGAACCTGCCTAAGGCTGTTTTCCAGTTTACAATTTATTTTTATAAGTAGAAGGAGTACACTCTAAAATAACAACATAAAGTATGGTATCATAATACATAAATCAGTAAAACAGTCATTATGATCACTGTCAAGTATTATGTATACACAAAATTGTATGTGCTATGTTTTTATATGATTGACAATACAATCGGTTTGTTTACAACAGCGTGGCCAAAAATGCATAAGTGTTGCACTATGACATTACAATGGTTATGACATCATTAGATAGGAATTTTTCAGCTACATTAGAAACTTATGGAACCATCATTATATAAGAGATTCATCTTTAATCAAAACATTATTATGAGACTCAGAACCCTATATAAATAATTGCATTTTATGCAAATAGTCTAAAACTCTAATTGAATAATGAAAAAAAAATGGCAAGTGAAGAGAATTTGTCACCAGCAGAGTGGCTGTGAAAGAAATGTGAAAGAAAATTATTCTTATGGAAGTGAAATATACCAGTGAAATAGGCATATATATTTCACTGTTGTCTAACATAATTTTAAGGCCGGACTTGAGTACGGAATTAGAGAAAGCTGATGGAATGCGAAGCACTAACGTGAAGAGGCCCTATATGCACACAGTGGCTATGTTATGCCTGGTTGCAACCACCTTCCCTTCTTCTGAGAACAAGATAGAAATGATTAAACTGTATTAGAAGGATGAAGTTATGCCCTAGGGAGCACACTTCCAGATCAGGCTTGAGATGCTAGACTTCAGAGTAAAAGGACTTGTGTCAGATGGTCTCTAGAAATATGGAAGACTAAGATTTAGAAATAGAATAAACAAAGTAACTTAAAAAAAAAACCCTCTCCTAGGATCATCTTTTTACAACAGGAACGAAAACATTTTCCAGTTTAATATATTTCTGACTGAAAGTCATTGTAGAGTTGAACCTTAAAGAAAAGTAAATTTAAACTTTCTTTGCATAGTATTTTATCTTTTTTCCTAGGGTTAGAGGTGGGGACTAGAAAACATGATATAGTTTTGAATTAATATTATTAAAGAGGCAAAATTTCACATTTCAAAATGGCCCAAAATATTCCACTGTTCATTTTGCTGACAGGTGATATACTCTAGAGAATCAGGTGTGGAGGGTTCAGTCATAATAAGCATATATGCTGTGGGTCAGGTGACTCATGAACATGTCAAGCAGGCCATGTTCTTTAGCAGTTTCTGGTCTGGTTCTGCTATTAATAATCTTGCCGTGGAACTTAGGCACATAGCTAGGAATTAGGTAACCCTTCCCTATAACCTAGCCTACACCCCTTTGCCCACTCTCAAGCCAATCGGTCTGTTCATCTCAGTGCCCTTAGAAGGTGAAGGTTTGGGCTGGGCCCATTCACTCACGTCTGTAATCCCAGACATGGGATTTGGATCGTTAGAGGAAATAAATTTAGTCCATTAGAGGAAAAAATGAAAAGGAAGGAAGAAAAGAAGGAAGGAAGAAGAAGGAAGGAAGGAAGGGGAAGAAAAGAAGAAGGAAGGGAGGGAGGAAAGAAAAGAAAGAGAAAAAAGAAAGAAAGAGAAAGAAAGAAAAAGAAAGAGAAAAGAAAAGAAAAGAAGGAAGGAAGAAAAAGAAAGAATGAAGGGAGGAAGTATGGGCATTAGAAAGCACAAATATTATATATGTGTTAAATATGTGTGGTACATGTTAGAAAACATACAATTGTGTTATAAGGTTTACAGTGTATTTGGATATCATACATACAACTAGTACTGTATAAAGGAAATCTATATGTTCCTGAGGATTCTATAGTCTACAAAGATTTTTTAAAAAACTTTTGTGGAAAGTTCTTTTCAACATGAAATTTTCATAACTTTCATGATACATATACAATAAAGTCTAGTGAAGAGATGTCTATTTCCAGCCAAGATAAATAGGAAAGTTTCCTGAAACAACTTTCAAGAAAGGACAAATTATATAAAAACATGGTATTTCAAATAGTAAACATTAGCTTTGGTCCAATAAATTTATTAAAACTAATAGAGGAATTAACATATTAAAATAAAATTTTTAACATAGAATAAGAAAGTAAAGAAGAAAAAGGAATAAACATGAAAGAAATATGGAAAACAAACAGCAAAATTGTTGATGTAAGTCCAAACAGATAAATAATTACATTAAATGTGGATAGACTTAAAACTGTAATCCATCAAAAGGTAGAGATTGATGGATAAAAAGAAATACAACTGCTTGCTATTAAGAGGAGACATATTTTAAATTCAATGGCAGAAAATGGAGAAAGTAAAAAAACTATAGAAAGATATACCATGCAAACAGTAACCTTAAAGAAAACCCAGAATGGCTGTATTAATATCATAAAATACATATTTTAGGTAAGATATAGTAAGAGAAAAAAGAAGGACATTTCAAAATGACTGAAAATTCTATACATCAGGAATATATAAGTGTAAAATATTTAAATCTAACACATCCCAACCCATATAAAGCAAAAACTGATAGAGGTGAACAAAGAAATGGCAGTTTAACAATTACTGAAGATATCAATATAGTCCTCTTGATAATTTCAAGAACAATTAGAAAGAAAATCAGTAAGCGTATGGAAATCTTCAACAATACTATTACCATTTTGAAAAGACAATTTCAAAATACTTCACTCAATAACAGCAGAATATACTTTCTCTTTGAAAGCAGGTAGACTGTTATTCGGGATAGAACATGTGTCAAGACATACAATAAATCTAAATACATTTTAAGGAATTAAAAAATAAACAGATGAATAGAGAATATCAATAAAGCCAATAATTTACTTTTTGAAGAAATCAACACAATTCATTAATATTTAGGCAGATTGTACATGAAAAAAGATATAAAATAAAAAGCAATGAAAATGTATAGGATGTTACTACAGAAAAATAAAAAATGATTATCAGCAAGAATTAATATTATAAACAACTTCATGCCAACAAATTAGAAAATTACAGAAATCACTATAATTGACTCAAAAAATGGAAAATATTGATAGACAATAACAAGTAGAAAAACTGAGGAAGAGTCAGAGCATGATAGCCTAATAGAAGTCTCTAACAATCATCTGCCCCACAAGAGCACCAAATTGAACAACTATCCACACAAAAAAGCACCTTTCTAAGAATCAAAAGTCAGGTTAGTAATCACAGCCCTTGCTATTAACATCATATTAATGAAAGTGTCACTGAAGACCATAGGAAAGCAGTATTTAACTGCCGATATCACCCCTGCCCGCCAACCCCCAGCAGCAGCTACGAGGCGCAAAGAGAAAATTTGTGTGCTTGGGGAAGGGAAAGTGCAGTTATTGTGGGATTTTGCATTGGAATTCAGTGCTGTCCTGACACAGCAGAAGACAACATGGGGTAGAATTCAGCTGGTGCCAACAGCTGTCAAAATCTGAGTTCCTTCAAGCCCTGCCACCACAAGCTAAAGGGCTCTGGAGTTCTAAATAAACTTGAAAGGCTGTCTAGGCCACAAGGGCTCCAATTCCTATGCAAGTCCTGGTGCTGTGCCAGGCTCAGAGCCAGTGGATTTGGTGTGCACGTGACCTACTGAGATACCAGCTGAAGTGGCCAAGGGAGTGCTTTCATCACCCCTGTACCAGTCTCAGGCAGCACAGCTCCTGATTCTGCAAGGGATCCTTCCCTGTGCGTGAGGAGAAGAGAGGGGAGCGTAAAGAAGACTTTGTCTTATAACCTAAATAGCAGCTCAGCCACGATAGAATGGGGCACCAGGCAGAGTCCTCAGGCTTCCATTCCAGGATGTAACTCCCAAACAGCATTTCTAAATATATCCTGACCCAGAAAGGAGCCCGCTACATTTAAGAGAAGGAGCCAATCCTGGCAGAATTTATCACCTGCTGATTCAAGAGCCCTTGGGCTGTAAATAATCAGCAATGATAGCTTGGCAGTACTGTCCATGGGCCTGAGGCAGTGATGGCCATGGGAAGAGACTCCTTTGTTTGAAGAAAGGGAAGGGAAAAGTGGGAAGGACTTTGCCTTGTGACTTGGGTGCCTGCTCAGTTGCAAAAGAATAGAGCACAAGGTAGATGCCTAAGATTTCCAACTCCGGGCTCTGGCTCTTGGAAAGCATCCCTGGACCCACCCGGGGCCAGGGAGAACTCACTTTCCTGAAAGGAATGACACAAGTTTGAATGAAATTGCCACCTACTTACTGTAGAGAACTTAGGCCTTTTGGGGGAGCTAAAAAAAATTAAAACAATTGAAGTCATGGTGATAGAGAGTAAAATGATAGTTACCAGGGGCTGAGAAGGATAGTTGGTGGAGAGTGGGGATGGTTATTGCTTGTAAAAATTTATTTAAAATGAATAAGATCTAGTATTTGATAGCACAACAGAATGACTATAGTAAACAATAATTTATTATACACTTTAAAACAACTAAAATAGTTTACTTAGATTGTAACACAAATAAAGGATAAGTGCTTGAGGTGCTGGATACCCCATTTACCTTGATATGATTATTACACTTTGTAGGCCTGTATTAAAATATCTCATGTAGAAATGCAAATTAAAACCACAATGTGATATCATCTCACACCAGACAGAATTCTATTCTTAAAAGGCCAAAACACAACATATAATAATGAGACTGGTACCGGTTTTTCCCTTCCATGTTTAGTGCTTCCTTAATGGTGATCATTAAAAAGTCAGAACACAACAGATGCTGGAGAGGATGTGGAGAAATAGGAACGCTTTTACACTGTTGGTGGGAGTGTAAATTAGTTCAACCATTGTGGAAGACAGTGTGGCAATTCCTCAAGGATCTTGAACCAGAAATACTATTTGACCCAGCAATCCCATTAGTGGGTATATACCCAAAATATTATAAATCACTCTACTATAAAGACATATGCACACGTATGTTTACTGCAGCACTGTTCACAATAGCAAAGACTTGGAATCAACCCAAATGTCCATCAATGATAGACTGGATAAAGAAAATATGGCACATATGTATCAAGGAATACTATGCAGCCACAAAAAAGGATAAGTTCATGTCCTTTGCAGGGACATGGATTAAACTGAAAACCATCATTCTCAGCAAACTAACACAGGAACAGAAAACCAAACACTGCATGTTCTCACTCATAAGTGGGAGTTGAACAATGAGAATACATAGACACAGGGAAGGGAACATCACACACCAGGGCCTGTAGGGTGGGTTGGAAGCTAGGGGAGGAACAGCATTAGGAGAAATACCTAATGTAGATGACGGGTTGATGGGTGCAGCAATCCATCATGGCACATGTATACCTATGTAACAAACCTGCACATTCTGCACATGTATCCCAGAACTCAAAGAATTAAAAGAAATAATAATGAGACTCTGCTTTAAGTTAAAACAGAGCTACCATTCACATTCAACCCCGTAAGCCCATTACTGGGTATATACCCAAAGGAATATAGATCATAATACCAAAATGAAACATGCCCTTGAATGTTCATCACGGTGCTGTTTACAATAGCAAAGACATGAAACCAACCTAGGTGTGCATTGATGGTGGATTGGATACAGAAATTGTGGCATATATACACCATGGAATAAAATGCCGCCATAAAAAAGAATGAAATCATGTCTTTGCAGCAACATGGATGGAGCCAGAGGCCATAATCATAAATGAATTAACACAGGAATAGACAACCAAATATCTCATGTTCTCACTTATAAGTGGGAGCTAAACATTGTGCACACATGGAAATAAACCTGAGAATAGACCCTGCAGACTACTAGAGGGAGGAAAAGGGATGTGATTAAAAAAACTACCTATTGGGTGCTATGCTCATTATTCGGGTGCAATATACCCATGTAACAAACCTGTTCATGTACTCCCTGTATCTAAAATAAAAGTTGAAATAAAAAAAAACACAAACGAAAAAACCTAATTTATCCCTTAAGTATATATACCTACTATGTACCCACATTTTTTTAAAAAAAAGAAGATGGTAAATAAAATCTTCCCACAAAAAATGCAGCCCCAGATGCTTCGTTAGTAATTTCTATCGAATATTTAAATAAGTAGTAGCAAGCCTACATAAACTTTTTCAAAATAGTCAAGAAGGAGGGGACACTTCTATACTCAATCTATGAATCCAACATTACACTGAGAACAAAGCTAGTCAAATAAATCAAGAGATTAAATGAACAAATATACAAAATTTCTCAATGACATATAATCAAACTAAACCCAGAATCAAATATAATCAATGATAAAACATGACCAAGTAGATTTTTATAATGGGCAAACAATGAATAGACACTTTATAAAATAACATATACAAATGGCAAAAAAAGAACATGAAAAAATGTTTGACATCATTAATCATAAGGAAATGTTACAATGAGATGCCACTACACTCTCCTTTAGAATGACTATAGTCATAGAGACACTTAATGCTAGGTGTTGTCAATGAGGTAGACAATTTGACACCCTTATACATTGATGGTGAGAACATAAATTAGTGCAGTCACTTTGGAAAGCTGTTTGGCAATTTTGTTGTTCTTGTTAAGATTAAGTAAAGACTTACTATATAAATCGGGAATCCACTCCTACCTATATACCCAAGAGAACTGGAATTATATATTCACAAAAAGACAGATTTGTGAATTTTCATAGCTGTTTTATTCAAAATAGCTGAAATTGGAACCAATTCAAAAGGACATTAACTGGTGAATGGACAAATAAATATGGTTTATAGTGGAATTACTTTCTGCAATAAAAGAGACAATACATACTAAAAAATCATTAGGTTCAAAATATTATGCTAAGTGAAAGAAGCCAGATATAAAAACTTACATAATTTGGTAGTCAATGTATGTGAAATTTCTTTTTTCCTTTTTTCTTTTTTTCTTTTTTCTTTTTTTTTTTTTTTTGAGACAAAGTTTCACTCTTGTCACCCAGGCTGGAGTGCAATGGCGTGATCTTGGCTCATTGCAACCTCCACCTCCCGGGTCCAAGCAATTCTCTTGCCTCAGCCTCCCAAGTAGCTGGGATTACAGGTGCCCGCCACCACACCCAGCTAATTTTTGTACTTTTAGTAGAGATGGGTTTCACCATGTTAAAGGCTGGTCTCTAACTCCTGATCTCAGGTGATCCACCCATTTTGGCCTCCCAAAGTGATGGAATTACAGGCATGAGCCACTGTGCCCTGCCAGTATGTGAAATTTCTAGACAAGGCAGAACTATAAAGACATGAAGCAGACCAGTGGGACTGGAGCACTTCCTGGGACTGAGGATGGGAGCAGCAATTGGCTACAATTTATTTTGAGGGAAGTTCTGGGAGCAATGGAAATGTACTAGAAATCTCTCTTGATCATTGTACAACTCCTTTTTATTAAACGGTACAGTTAAAATAGATTAATTTTATGTTAGTATGATTAAATAGATTAATTTTATGTTAGCTTATAGTTTATGTTAATATATTATGACTTAATAAAGATGTTAACAAAGGCAGAAAAAGATTTAAAAAGAACACTTCAAAAATAACATACATAAGGCAAATACCTAATTAGTATTCAAAATAATTAGTCATTAGACTAAAGCAAATTAAAACCACATGGAGCAGTTTTTTCATTGCCCAAACTTGAAAGCAACCAAGATATCCTTCAGTTGGTGAATGGATAAATAAACCACAGTACATCTGCACAATGGAATATTATTCAATGCTAAAAAGAAATGAGCTATTAAGCCATGAAAAGACATGAAAGAAACTTAAATGTATATTATTAAATGAAAGAGGCCAATCTGAAAAGGCTACATACTGTTCAATTCCAACTATATGACATACTGGAAAAGATAAAACTATGGCAACAGTAAGAATATCAGTGCTTACCAGAGGATGGGGGGGTGGGGGGGTGGTGCCTAGATGGGGCATCAAGGATTTTTAAAGCAGTGAAACTGTTCCGTCTGCTACTACAATGGTGGATATTTGTCATTATACATTTGTCAAATCCATCTAATGTACATCACCAGGAGTAAATCTAAATCCTAACGTAAGCTAATGATTTTGGGTGATAATGATGTGACAGTGGAGGCTCCTTGATTGTAGTAAATGTATTACTCTCGTGTGGAATGTCAATGTTGAAGGAGGCTGTGCATGTGTTTGTAGGAGAGGGTACGTGGGAACTGGCTGTATTTTTTGCTCAAATTTGGTGTGAATCTAAAACTGATCTAAAAAATAAAATCTATTACAAAAAACACAAGGTGCTGCTACACACATGTCAGATTGTCTAAATAAAAAGTCTGACCATATGAACTGTTGATGCAGTTGTAAAGGAATTAGAGCTCATATACTGTTGCTGGGAACGTCCAATTTTAAAAACACTTTGGAAAACAGTTTGACAGTTTCCAAAATGTTAAACAACTACCGCCTGACCCAGCCATTCCACTCTTGGATATTTACCCGAGAAATGAGAGCCTTTTCCATACAAAGACTTATACACAAGTGGTTATAGTACCTTTAATTTTAGTAGCCCAAAATGGAAACAATCCAAACGCCCATCATTGGTTGAATGTATAAACAAATTGTGGTATAGCCACACAATTAAATACTATTCAGCATTAGAGAATAACAAAATATTAATACACAAAACAACATGGATTGCACTGAATGGACACAGCAGGAATGTGTTATTTTGTAGTTCCATTTATATGAAATTCTAGAAAATACAAACTATTCTATAGTGACAGAAAGTGATTAATGGTTGCCTGAGATGGGGATGGCCATGGAGGGGTAGGAGAAAGGTATTGGAAAGAAACACTTTGCAGATGTTGGAAATGTTAATTATATTGAAGGTAGTAATTGTTTTATGATGTATCCATATATTAGGATTTATCAAATTGTATACTAAAATTAAGTGCAGGTCGTTGTATGTCAATAATCTTCAATAAAGCTGTCAAAAAGAGACTTAATTGATTGATCTATTTAAGAAATTTGTCCTGGTTGTCTTTAGTGTTAATAGCTATGTGATATTGACCTGCTGATGATTTTTAGAATAATTATTTGGTTCCATTTAGCACTTCAATTATTTGAGAAGATAATTGTGTAACTTCAGGTAAAGTTATGCAGAAATGTAGGAATGATGGATTCTGCCATTTATCCAGTGTTTTCAGGAATGCCCTCTAGTCAAAAAGCAAAAACTGTGTCGTGGAGGGTTAGTTGCTTTAGGGATTTTTGCAAGTAACAATATATTGAATTCATTGTTTTATTCAGTATTTTTCCAACATTAGGCCTCAGTAAAAATATTTTTGGCACTTTTATTAATTTTTTGTGCTATCTACAGATGGGCTAATTTCTGTGGGGCTTATAACATGTAGAGGTCATCATGTTCAGAGAGAAATGGTATGATGATAATTTCATTCGAGAGAGAATCTGATAAAGCACAAGCTTAAGCTTTGTAGGCTCTTTTGACCCTCTTAATAATAATAGCTAACATTTAGTGAGCACTTAATATGCACAATATATTCTTATTAAATCTTCTCTACAACCTCTTGAGATTTGCACTATAAATATCTTCACTTTACAGATGAGGACACAGAAGTTCAAAGAAATTAAGCATCTTGCTCAAGAGAGAAGTAAGGAGCAAAATATCCCACCCAGGTGTGACTATGTACAGAACTGAGCTCTGTCTCTGTATATTTTATGTCTCCATTTAATCACAGAAAATAAGTAATAGATATCAAGCTACAAATATTAAATTATTGGATCAAAATCATAGATGTTTTATGTAATGATGCTCTCATCATATAATTGATTTTATTCAACCACTTATTTATTTCTTTATGCCTACTACAAGAAATGCATAATTTCATAGGTTTGTAATATCTGATTCATTTCACATGATTTTGGAGATAATAAACCTCTAGTCAAGGTCACCACAACCACCTATAGAATAACTTATCTCTTGGCTCCATTGCCTTCTCAGTTCTATGTCAGAGGAAAACTTTTATAATTTGAGGAAAAAGAATAAATGGCTGTGAACAGAATCAGCTACAATTTTTTTAAAGATAACAAGTGATAACCCTCAGAGGCCTATCACCTCTGTATCACAGGGGCAGGTTACTTCATATGCACCTGAGGACCTATTGTTCTATCTGCGTGCTTCTCTCTAACTTTCCCTCTTTTGTATTTCTATCTCTCATCAGGTGTGTGCGTGTGTATGTGTGTTTCTTTCTTTTTTTCTTTCTGTTCTCTATTCCTCTGGGTCAGGTGTGAGACACAAATCTTTAAAATAGCTCTATTCAAGCCATTTTTCTGGCCACTAAAATTAAATTGAACCTCCCTGTCCCTTTCGCTCTGCTTCCCACATACTACCTAATTTACCACTGCCAGTGCCTCAGTGGGCTCCTGTCCACATGCTAGGGACATCTTACAGGTCTCCTTGTGCTACTGACCATCTCTGTGACCAGTCTGTCCCCTGTGAACTCAACGAGGCTTCACTTTATAGCCTCCCTCTACCTCACACACAGTACCACTGGTACTCTTGTTATCACTTCATTTCGTCCAATACAAACAAGATGTAATGGTAACTTACATATTTTCCTCCCTTGCTTTTCTTTTAATTTTTACTTTCTGTCTCTGTTACTTGTTCCTCTACCATTTTCTTATTTTCTTCCTCTCTCATTTCCTTTGATTATGATATATTATTAAAATATTCTAAGTTATTTAAATTTAAAGTTATGTTCCCTATTCTTTTGTTTGTTTGTTTGTTTTGAGACAGAGTCTTGCTCCGTCGTCCGGACTAGAGTGCAGTGGCATGAGCTCGGCTCACTGCAACCTTCACCTTCTGGGTTCAAGCGATTCTTGTGCCTCAGCCTCCTGAGTTGCTGGGATTCCAGGTGCCTACCACCGTACCTGGTTAATTTTTGTATATTTTGTAGAGATGGGGTTTCACCATGTTTCCCAGGGTGGTCTCGAACTCCTGACCCACCCGCCTCAGTCTCCCAAAGTGCCGGGATTATAGGTGTTAGCCACTGTGCCTGGCCATCCTAGTCTTAATTTAAAATTGTGTGAATCTGAATTGTTGCTCAAATCTGGTATATATTCCTATTTTGTATTCAAAATGAGGCAACCCTGAAGTTTTATGTTGCTTTCATCTCAAAATAATAAATAACCCCCTTAATTGGTTAATAGATTTATTTATGTAAATATGACACTTTATTTGTGTTGGACATAGGCCATGAGTCATAAACTATTATATAATATATAATACCTGCACTTATTATTTATGAGAATCAAAATTTCTTTCAAGGGAACTATTACATATGTATACATGTGTCATGTTGGTGTGCTGCACCCATTAACTCATCATTTACACTAGGTATATCTCCTAATGCTATCCCTCCCCCATTCCTGCACCCCACAATGGGCCCTGGTGTGTGATGTTCCCCACCCTGAGTCCAAGTGTTCTCATTCCCACCTATGAGTGAGAACATGTGGTGTTTGATTTTCTGTCCTTGTGATAGTTTGCTCAGAGTGATGTTTTCCAGCTTCATCCATGTCCCTACAAAAGACATGAACTCATCAATTTTTATGGCTGCATAGTATTCCATGGTGTATATGTGCCACATTTTCTTAATCTAGTCTATCATTGTTGGACATTTGGGTTGGCCCCAAGTCTTTGTTATTGTGAATAGTGCTGCAATAAACACACGTGTGCATGTGTCTTTATAGCAGCATGATTTATAATCCTTTGGGTATATACCCAGTAATGGGATGGCTGAGTCAAATGGTATTTCTAGTTCTAGATCCTTGAGGAATCACCACAGTGTTTTCCACAATGGTTGAACAAGTTTACAGTGGCACCAACAGCGTAAAAGTTTTCCTTTTTCTCCACATCCTTTCTAGCACCTGTTGTTTCCTGACTTTTTAATGATTGCCATTCTAACTGGTGTGAGATGCTATCTCACTGTGGTTTTGATTTGCATTTCTCTGATGGCCAGTGATCATGAGCAATTTTTCATGTGTTTCTTGGCTGCATAAATGTCTTCTTTTGAGAAGTGTCTGTTCATATCCTTTGCTCACTTGTTGATGGGTTTGTTTGATTTTTTCTTGTAAATTTGCTTTAAGTTCTTTGAAGATTCTGGATATTAGCCCTTTGTCAGATGGGTAGATTGTAAAAATTTTCTCCCATTCTGTAGGTTGCCTGTTCACTCTGATGGTAGTTTCTTTTGCTGTGCAGAAGCTCTTTAGTTTAATTAGATCCCATTTGTCTATTTTGGCTTTTGTTGCCATGGCTTTTGGTGTTTTAGTCATGAAGTCCTTGCCCATGCCTATGTCCTGAGTGGTATTGCCTAGGTTTTCTTCTAGGGTTCTTACGGTTTTAGGTCTAACATTTAAGTCTTTAATCCATCTTGAATTGATTTTTGTATAAGGTGTAAGGAAGGGATCCAGTTTCAGCTTTCTACATATGGCTATCCAGTTTTCCCAGCACCATTTATTAAATAGGGAATCATTTCCCCATTTATTGTTTTTGTCAGATTTGTCAAAGATCAGATGTTTGTAGATGTGTGGTATTATTTCTGAGGGCTGTGTTCTGTTCCATTGGTCTATATCTTTGTTTTGGTATCAGTACCATGCTGTTTTGGTTACTGTAGCCTTGTAGTATAGTTTGAAGTCAAGGAACTATTTTGTTACAACTTATAATTCTGTAACATTCTGCAACCATTCTCTCTCTAAACATGGTGTAATTCTGAATTGTCAGAGGCACACCTTATTATGAGCACATCTAGTATGTGAAAAATGTATTTAAAAAAGAATTAAAGTAGTAATTTTGTTGTTGTTGTTGTTGTTGTATTGTTTGAGTCAGGGTCTCACTCTGTTACCCAGGCTGCAGTGCAGTGGCACCATCTTGCCTCAAAGCAACGTCCATCTCCTGGGCTCAAGCAATCCTCTCACCTCAGCCTCCTGAGTAGCTAGGACCACAAACAGGTACCTCCATGCCCAGCTCTTTTTTTTTTTTTCTTGTGTATTTTTAGAAGAGATGGGGTCTCACCATATTGCCCAGGCTGGTCTCAAACTCCTGAGTTCAAGCAATCCTCCTGCCTCAGCCCCCTAAGTGCTGGGATTACAGGCTTGAGCCACTGGGCCAAGCTAAGTAGTAATTCTTAAGCTAGAGATGGATGTCTGTATATCTGCGTGGATATGTGTGCTTTCATATTATCTTGCTATGAGATACTGCATAAACCAAAGCATATAGAAATAGGCATAATATGGTAATTATGGCATAGATTATATAGCTTATTTTACAGATTATATGATGACATATTTATAATTCTAAAGATGTGTCTGTTATAAATAAGTATTGCAACTAGAATTGTCTTCTTTTTAGCTTCAATGTCATCCAAACTTGCAAATCCACATTTTACTTTTCCAATATTCATTTGAATCAATATAAATTTGTTAATTTTAGATCAGATGGAATAAAAAGCTGCAGGCTCTTTGAATTATTTCCTCAGAGGGAGTGAATTGGTGTTATCAGGTAGGCATAAAGTCAGCCTTGAAGAAAAGCTACCAGATCTATAATCTTCACTCCATGCCTCCATATTAGGCAGCTTCAAGCAACACATTTAACTTCTCCTAGCCTTTATTTCCTCATATTTAGAAGGGGAGAGATGAAAATTCAGTTGTAGAATAGTGGTCCTCAGACCTTGGTGGGCAGAAAAAAAAAATCCACTAAAAAGTAATGTAATAAATGGGGAAAAAGTTGTAGTTATTCCTGGCCTAGCCCTCAGAGATTTTATTTTATTTTTATTTTTTGACTCGGCAGTCCTTGTTGAAACATTTCAGGTGGCTCTGACAGAGATGAAACTTGGGCTTTGAAGAACACTTCATGCTCTTGTGAAGAGTTAATGAATAAAATCACTTACTGCATAGTGGATACTTGTAAAGGAATTATGACACCAAGTTTTAGACCATGTAATTTGTGGAAATACACTAAAATAGGGAATCCTAAAGGTATAATCCACAATACTTGCTATGGAGATTCCAAGGAAAAAGACATTTCACCATTTGAAATATAGAGTTACATGGAACAGGCACTAAATAATACATTTTTTAAATTAAAAAATCTTAATTTGGAAAGTATAGGATTCAAATTAGATCAATGTTATTCTAATAATGACAAGTCAGAAGCAACACAACAATGAGGACAGGAACAAAATTAAGGAATATTAAAAAATAGAGAAATTCAACTAACAACAGGAATATATATATTATATTATACTTATATTCTGTATTATTAAGATATATTATATATATATGTATACTTTTATTTTTTGAGACAGAGACTCTTTCGCCTAGGCTGGAGTGCAGTGGTGCGATCTCCGCTCACTGCAACCTCCATCCCGCAGGATCAAGTGATTCTTGTGCCTCAGCCTCCTCAGTAGCTGGGACTACAAGTGCACGCCACCTCACCCAGCTATTTATTTTTATTTTTATTTTTGGTAGAGACAAGGTTTCACTATGTTGGCCAGGCTGATCTCAAACTCTTGACATCAAGTGATCCACCTGCCTTGGCCTCGCAAAGTGCTTGGATTATTGCCTCCACATCCAGTCAGAATATATGTTTTACATATATAAAACATATGTATATGTCTATAAAATTTTGGCTTTATTAAATGTAATCAAACAAATACAGCAAGAGCAATAATGGGAAAACATAGCAAAATTACCCTGCAAATTGGAAAGAATTATATACATATAGCTAAAGAGAAATTATGGAAAAATTATTTCAAGGGACAAAAATAATGTAAATTGTTAAGACAACATATGGAATACTATGCAGCCATGAAAAAAGAATGAGTTCATGTCCTTGGCAGGGACATGGATGAAGCTGGAAACCATCATTCTCAGCAAACTAACACGAGAACAGAAAACCAAACGCCGCATGTTCTCACTCATAAGTGGGAGCTGAACAATGAGAACACATGGAAACAGGGAGGGGACTATGACACACTGGGGCCTGTCGGGGGGTGGAGAGAGATAGCATTAGGAGAAATACCTAAGGTAGATGATGGGGTGATAGGTGCAGCAAACCACCATGGCATGTGTATACCTATGTAACAAAACTGCACGTTCTACAAATGTATCCCAGAACTTAAAGTATAAAAAAAGTAAGATAACATAGTTAAAGTAACTATTTTGTTAAAGTTATGCATAACAATGCAAGTTGAGACAATTTTAATGACTGACTTTACACCTGCTAATCTAACACAATTCATTAACTGTTTTGCCAGACTATGTGGAAGTATGCATATGTTTAGATATGTTAATGGTTTGTGAGTTTATTTGGTTATTCTGGAGACTAAACAGACAATATATAATAAAGATGATGAAATACTTTGATAAAAAGGTATAGAAATGCTCTCTGGTCAATTATTTGAAAATATATACCAATGAAACATCCTAAAATATAAAAAGGTGGTCATAGGCATCCATAATATTGAAAAAAGAAACCCTTCTAGAGGCCTTCTGTGTAGGCAACATCATAGTAAAAGAAAAATGAGGCCGGGCACGGTGGCTCACGCCTGTAATCCCAGCACTTTGGGAGGCCGAGGTGGGCGGATCACGAGGTCAGGAGATCGAGACCATCCTGGCTAACACAGTGAAACCCCATCTCAACTAAAAATCCAAAAGATTAGTCGGGCGTGGTGGTGGGCGCCTGTAGTCCCAGCTACTCAGGAGGCTGAGGCAGGAGAATGGCATGAACCCGGGAGGCGGGGTCTGCAGTGAGCCGAGATCGCGCCACTGCACTCCAGCCTAGGCGACAGAGCGAGACTACACCTCAAAAAAAAAAAAAAAAAAAAAAAAAGAGAAAAATGAAGAAATTCAGTTGGTAGAATGCAATATAGCCATTAAATAAGTTAATATATTTTTAGAAAAAAATATTCTCTTGAAGCGGAACTGATACATTGATGTAACATATCCAAAAATTATAACTATTTAAGATCACTAGTTTCACGATTTATCCTTTTTCCACTATTAATATTTAATGTTTGGCAAATAATTTAAAGTACGCTGGAATTATTTTAAATTGTGTATAATAATATGTAAGGTGTTTTAGAAAAATTAAACTCTTATTTGTACAACACCGTTTTACAATTCCAACTGAATAATACTGATTAAGACTTAACTGTGTGATACCTGGCTTAGTGTTTTCTTCCTGATATTAGAGCTAGATTTAGGGCTACAGGATTGATTGCTTCAGGTGATTTATTAATTTAGTAAAGCAATTAGCTTGTTGATTGTTTTCATTGAATCAATTAATTGTTGGAAAAAATAACCAAATTCATTTAATTGTTTGCTGACATAGCCCTAATCATCTTAACTTTCTTTCTTTGTTTTCCAAGTGAGAAATTGGATCTCAGCCACAGAAATCATGTGAGGATACAGCAACAGGAAAAGGAAAGGTACTTTTAGCTCAGCTGATATTGTCTGTGGTTAGCTCCTGAGCTATATTGAATTAAAAAATAATAATTATAAACACTTAACAATGTTCATCACATTTCCGCTATGACAAAAACGTGACACTTCACTCTTAGCTAAAAAAGACAGCACAATTTCAGGTATAAGAGTAACCAAATCTCAGAAAGTGTTTCAATTGCTACATATTATGAATACCAGAGTCTCTAATTATTCCATTTGCAATATGTAAAGTTGCTTTGTTCATGATAGCAAATAACAGCTTGGCAAGAACAATCCAGTTATTGGTATCTCTGAGTGAAAAATTAGTTTTCTATACACTTTACAAAAATGTCTGCCTGAATTAAAGAAATATTTCTAGAACAAAATCTCCTACAAGTCTATCAATGGATGAAGCTCTCCTACTATATTTGTAACATTATTGTTCTCAATATTAAAATATATGAGAGAGAAACAGAAGTTACCAAAACAACAGAAAACATCTATATCTCTATATTTCTATTTCTCTTTATAAATTCTGTCTTGTAAGGGTGGTGTGATTTTTCAAATGGCATTAATTCTATTAGCATTGGTTGGGTTGTGATGCAAAAATTTGGGAAACGTTTATGACTCCCATAGTGTAGACCCAAAATTATCAGTGGTGAGTAATACATTCAAGAATATCACTGATGCTAAGGTACAGATTGCTCATGTTTTCCTCTTCAGTTCTCAAAAGAGAACATTTTAAGCTTCAGAAGCATGAATGAAGCAGGCATGGGAGTTGGAAGTCTTTTGTGTTATTAGTTAACATAACTATTCCTTTGTACAGTGCAGGATTTGGGAAGAAAAACCTTAATAAGAAGTTTTTGTCTAAACCATTAAAACAGTTATCATCAGTTCTCAGTGACAATTGTTATATTTAAGAATCCAAACAAATAGACAAAATTGGTGTCTGCCTTGTTATCCCAAAAATAATTGAGGTCTTCTCCTGATAGGATACACTTCCTATATCCTCATAAACTTTATGGGTTTTGGGTCAAAGCTGAAATCAATAATAAAAAACCCATGTAGCTCAACTATTGTTGCTAGAAAAGACAATATGAAAATATTTAATCTTGACTTGGTTGATAATGTCATAGTGTGTAAAAAGAAAATCATAGGTGAGTGGGTGGGGCAATCACTGAAGTCCTTTCATATTATTCATATTATTGACCTCATGCTTTTTGGAGAAGGGACTGGATCCCAATTTCAATACCAAATGAACTACACTGAGCTGAGATAGGGATGACGGGAGGTAGGCCAATGTTAGCTCCATTTGAAAATGAAGTAAATGTTTGGAATTTCAAGTGTGCCTTCTTTAGGTGTTTCTCAAAAATTGTAACTGGAATTTATTGCAGATAATACCCATGTGATAATTTTGTTATTAGTTCACATAAGTAGACTACAAAAAGCTGTTAATATTGTTTTTAATGGCATGCATTTTATTTACATTTGAAAAACCATTCCACATACATGGTGCAAATGTTTTGGTATGCATATAGAATTTGAAGCCTCTTACACTAACCCTGGTGTTCACATGTTGAAAATTCCTCCTGCATATCTTTAGTAAGGAAGAATTTTGCAAAATAATGCTAATTTGAAGTGTCCATTCATCACAAGTTTTTCTCCAAAGAGAATTTTAAAGACTGCTTTGTTAAGCATGAATATAACATTCAAATTAAAAGATTTTATTAAATAATGAACAGGTGATGATATTCAAACGAGGAGATGATATTGGAGAGGAGTATGGTGCCCTGCATTATGAATAGGTGGGAGAATGGGAGTCCAGAATATAACTAAAAAGTGAGAATGTAAAAACTATGAAGGCTTTAGCTATTATCACAGCATGGGGGCTAGGAAAGCTTATGGTTTTGAAGCACAAAAGTAAAATTTTGGAAGGAAGGCCTAAGGTAAAATTTTTGAAGTGTACCTGTGTATATAATCTTGTAAATTCTCTATTCATGTCCCTCTGAAGTCTTTGGTGTATTGCTTATAGATTCTTTGGGTAGAAGGGAATTCTATAATATAAATGATCCAGTTTGGCAAGAGCAAAAAAAAAAAACAAAAAAAAAACAAACAAAAAAAAAAAACCAAAAAAATGCTTTCCCTGGAAACATGTCGTCTAGGAATGACACCAGATATGACCGAGTGGAGGCTTTTCATATTCTTCCCTTTTACTGCTTAGTTCTGAGAGTGAATACCGTGATTGATATTCACAGAAAGCACTGTACACTGTAATTGATAACCTTCATGAATCTTTTTGCTTTTTGCTTTTTTGGGGATGGGTCAAATGAGAACAAACATTTCAAAGCCTTAAAGATTTCAAATAAAAGTAAAGGGCTTTCTTTCTTGAAGTGGGTCCCATGGAAATTCAGTATTTTTAGGCTAGATAGGATAAATAAAATAACAATCTAACATGATCAAGATTTATAAGTTTTAATTTAAGGTAAATGCCTCTGTTGTAATATGTAATAATGCAAGGTAATTATATCTAATATGAATAAAATATACAAGTATATAGGCATAAATCATTATTTAAACAAGAGTACCTCATTTTGCAGACATACTTGATCATGGGTGAATATGCAAGTTTCCTGTTCTAATCTCATTTTTTAGGAGAAAAATATGTTATTCACAAAGTTTTTTATTTGGAAAACAATGATTTTTGATAGATGTAGCCCTACATTAGATTGTGTTTATGACATTTATTCAAGAGATGATTTTTTTTAACAAATTGTCAAGTAGCACTGTGAAGAGCAAGAACCAGTCTTGTATTTACCAGGAACATTTCATCTCACCAGAAATGCAGATTGATATTGGAACCAAACATAAAGAGGATCTTAGACAGAGAGCCATTGATCAGTATAGTGCTGTGGGAATCGAAAGAGGCCCTAAAGTCTTGTTGAAATAATCCTAATAAATGAAACTCATTTGGGAAATAGTAAAATGGTTTTCTCTTTCATAAAGCACTATTGCCTCTTGGCCAGTGTTTTGCAAGGAATGGTGTGTATCAGGAATACTTAGGAGAGCTTTAAATATAGTTGTTCAATTTCTATTCCGGAAAAGCTGATTCAAAAGGTCTAGGGTAACCAGGCAGGTGGTGGGCAGAATGTATAAGAAGACACTACTAGAGGCTTCTAAGATGATGGCCATGCCATTTCTCCTCCAAATTAGGAACTTTGATTGCTCTGGGCCTCAATCAGTAGTTCTTGGAGAGAATGGGCTAGCTGGCTGATTCATCATTCAAAACTAAAGGTAGCAACAGTTAAAGTGTCAGAATGTTTTTTGCTTTTAAGAGAAGTATCCACAAAATATTAATATTGACTTAGGATACTTTTTAAAGTAAAGAATCTCAGAGATTATGCTTTGAGGCCTTAAATTATAAGGTGCTTTCCCCAATCTCTACCCTATTTCTTTATAAAGTTGGTTGCATTAAATGTCTGACACACTAAAAACTACATGTTTTCCAGAATTTTTGCTGGAATTTTTTCCAAGAAATTATAAAGACAGCAAGATAGAGACAACTTGTTTCACTAAAACCAGTTTTTTAAACATATATTATATTAACATATGTAATAAGTAATAACATAGGTAAAATATAGTTATAACATGTGTAACAAATTTTTACAAATGTTCTGTTAACTTCCAGAATGTCTTGCACCCAAAAGCAAAAGAGGTGCCACCTGGTACAAATCACAAGACTTGTAATCCTCAGCCATACTATTATTGGTGCTCCATTGAGTAATCTGATCTCAATATGTAGTAATTACTGTCTTTTCATAGAAGAGGCAATGGGCTGTACAAAAAAGGACATATAACACAGAAAAAAAAGTCAAGATCTTAATCTCATCCATGTGTTTCTTCTTTATGAGTCTCAAAACTGTGTCTCGAAAACTTTCAGCTCTACGTTAGTCATTTATAAAGTGTATTAAAATATATGCTTCACCTATTGATGAAATTATGATGTGTTCCAAAAAATAATGGATTTAAGTAGAATACATATAACTTTTATGTTCATGAAAACACTAATACCAATTATGATAAAATAAAAGTATGTGGCTTATATTGTTTTTAATTTTTTTAAATTTTATTTTAGGTTTGGGGGTATGCGTGTAGGTTTGTTACCTATGTAAGCCCCTCTCCCGCCTACCACCTTCCCTGCTCTTGTAGACTCTAGTGCCTGTTGTTTTCTTCTTTTTGTTCATACTTTCTTATCATTTAGATTTCACTTATAAGTGAGAACATGCCGTGTTTGGTTTTCAGTTTCTGCATTAGTTTGCTAAGGATAATAGCCTCCAGCTCCATCCGTGTTCCCACAAAATACATGATCTCATTCTTTTTCTAAGGCTGCATAGTATTCCATGATGTATATGTAGCATGTTTTGTTTATCCAATCTGTCATTGATGGGCATTTAGAGTTACTCCCTAAATTTTAGGGAAAATAAATAATAAAGACACATGCACACATATGTTCATTTCAGCACTATTCACAACAGCAAATCTTTGATTGACTCTCTGTCAATAGCAAATCTTTGGTTTGCTATTGTGAATAGTGCTGCAATGAACATTGTGTGCATGTGTGTTTATGGTAGAATGATTTATATTCCTTTGGGTATATACCCAGTAATGGGATTGCTGGGTCAAATGGTATTTCTGGTTCTAGATCATTGAGGAATCATCACACTGTCTTCCACAATGGTCAAACTAATTTACACTCCCACCAGCAGTGTAAAAGTGTTCCTATCTCTCTGCAGGCTTGCCAGCATCTGTTACTTTTTTGACTTTTTATTAATAGCCATTCTGACTGGCAGGAGATGGTATCTCATTGTGGTTTTGGTCTGCATTTCTCTAATGGTCAGTGATACCAAGCTTTCTTCATGTTCTTTTTGGCCACAGGTATATCTTCTTTTGAGAAGTGTCTGTTCATGTCCTTTCCTCACTTTTTAATGGGATTATTTTGTAAACTATAAAAATTAAGTTGTTTTACATCCTTATTCTTTATATTTAAAACGTGATTAATATTTCTATAATTCTTTTCCATAAAAAGGAAAACATAAATTCTCACTCTACATAGTTAATCAAATTCCCATTCCCCGCTTCCGTAGCATTTTATCTATCCTAAAGAACCAATCTACAGGCTGTTTCCTCACCCAAAAGCACTACTAGGAATTCTTATATTTATGTATGGCTTCATTCACCATGCAACAATCATTGTTGCATCGATTTTCTGTAGTAATCTACTAACTGGTTGCAGTCTATGTTTTCAGCTCATTTTGCATAAAAAGAAACTGAGGTTCAGAAAGGTTAGGTGAGCCAATGGCTAGTAATAAAAAATGATGTCAGTAGATGTTTACTGAATCATATCAGATGTTTTTTCCCCAAACCTTATTTGAAGCAAATTTTTTTGTCTGTTTGTTTGTTTTTTATTGTGGCACTGAGAGTGTCCCCGGATTTACGTTTATCATTTCAGATATCAGATTCACTGAAACTTCTAAAAGTTTCACAATGTTATTAATTATTATAACATAATATAGAAGAGCTTTATGTTCATAAGATTTACAAAGTGTTTTTTTTTTGTTTTCCAAAATGTTTTTATGAGCATATTAGTTTGTCTTCATCATCATGTAAAGTAAGCTCAAATTATACTAATGCCAAATCATTTAAGAAACATTCCTCCATTTACTCTAGGTTTTTGTGTGTCATATATAATTTGCATTTTGAAATATATGATAGAATTTCACTTAGAAAAACTTAGTACCTCTGTGTAATATCAAAAGCCTTTTCTAACTCTCTGTTATAAATAATGACCTTTTTTAGTGAGCTAACTTGGCCCAACAAACAATGCCCAATTGCCACAGTGGGTTTGGCTTCACTCTGTTGAGCACTCATGCATTAATATATAACATTTTTAGTTCCCCACAATTCATATGTTGAAGTCTTAACTTCCAATGTGACTGTATTTGGAGACAGGGCCTTTAAGAAGGTAATTACAGTTAAATAGGGTCATAAGAGTGGGGCACTAATCCAATAGTATTGGTGTTCTTATAAAAAGAGGAAGAGACACCAGAGAACTCTCCCTCTCCATGTATATACAGACAAATGGCTGTATGAAGACACAGCAAGAAGGTGGTGGCTGTCTGCAAACCCAGGAAGACAGGCCTCAGGAGAAACTAACCTTGCCAGCACCTTGATCTTGCACTTCCAGTTTCCAGAAATGTGAGAAAATTGATTTCTGTTGTTTAAGCTTCCCAGTCTGTGACAGTCTGTGATGACAACCTAACCACGGTAATACAGATTAATGTAATTTTCTTTTTCAGAAAAATCACGCACTACTAGAAATTAGAGATCAGTTGTTGAACGGGAATTTATAGTTGGCCTGAAATAAAGTAATAGTGTCTAGTTATTACAATTGACGGGGCTCAATACTTGATGGTATGATGGTGTAAGGGAGTGGGAGCTGTGAATTGTCAGAATATGTATGTATGAGGCAAAGAGAAAAAAAGAGAATTAATGAGAATGTGTGTGTGGAGGAGACATGAATTCAAGTTGGAAGATGTATCAGTCTCTTAGGGCTACTATACCCCAAACTGAGCGGCTTAAACAAATGAAATGTATTGTCTCACAGTTATGTTAGTGAAAAGCTTGAGATTCAAGTACCAGGAAGGTGTGCTTCTTCTGAGGGCTATGAGGAAGAATCTGTTCCACAGCTCTCCCTTTGTTTCTAGCGGTTTACTTGCAATCTTTGGCATTCCTTACTACATAGAAGTAATATCCCAATCTCTGCCTTCATTTTTACATAACATTTTCATATTTTCTTCCTGTGTGTCTCTTCACATATGTCCTCTTTTTATACTGACACTAGTCATAGTGAATTAGAAGTCTGCGCCAATAGCTGTCATCTTAAGTATAACATCTGCAACATCCCTATTCCCAAATAAGGTCACATTTCGAGGTACTTGGTGTTAGAATCTCAATGTGTGAATTTCGACAGGACACGATTCAACCCTTAACAATAGAACATGGGAATCAGTACCTTCTTTGCTGAAATGTTCTTTCAGTTATCCAGATTTGCACCTCTGCAAACCTTTTGTGTACCTTTGTGACCAACATTCATGCTATGACATTACAGATTTCTCTTCTACTATAGGCATGTTTTATACTTGGTAGTGTTTTTTGCTTTATACACTTCAATTTTCTCTGCAGAAGTGTGCATAACTCTTTAAATTACTCAATCTAATAATCGTTTCCCCTACAAAACTTTAAAATAGATGGTGGTAGCTCTATGTGATGAAAGTATATATTCCCCTCACTGTTCACTCAGTGTTTATAATGACCCTTCGTTCACCTTTTGAACTGCCCTTTTTTATAATCACTGGAGAATAGGTATGTGTTTCATCATCAAGAGAGTTCAGCAAAAAAAAGGAAGCCAGTGGGTGGGACTCTTACAGGATCTGGCTGGTGAAGTACAAACTAATTTCCTTCACTTTTTCTGAGCACTGTCAATTTTTTATTAACTTTTAGTATAAATTTATTTTTACTATAAAGTTATTAAAACTTTACTTCACAGGGAAAATGTAAAATATATAAAACAAATAATTCAGTTACTTATAATCTCTAAGATACACACTAAGATGAACATATTTAATATTTTTATTTCCAGTTTCTTCCAGTGCTCCTCCTTCTCTTTCTTCTCCTCCTCCCCTTTCTTCTTATTATATATTTTCCTCATAACTAGCATCAAACTATTTCTAGCTTTGTTTTCCCATATATTATTCATTGTGAGCGTTTCCTGATAGCAACTTAAATTATTGAAATTTAGGTTTGGCTGAGTGTAGCAATAGCAAAAACAAAAGCAAAACAAAATAAAAACTATCAAAATTAAAATGTTTTTCTAAGGAAAAAAAGTTAGTTTACAATCCACATTGCGTGCTTCCTAGTGTCAGGAATCAGGCTCCTTCTATCTTGTTCTCCACAGGAAATTTCCATTGCCAAGCTCATGCCATAGTCTTAGATGGCCATTGAATCTCTAACTAGCATATCTAGCTCTAAGTAGTATATGTTAATATAAGAGTTGCCCTCTTCAGACTGGTAAAATTTCACTTTCCCACCTCTATTCAGAGGTGAACACCCGTGCTCACTTTCCTACATGCTGACTCTATGTCAAAACTTTGTTAACACTTGTCTTGCAGCATGATACCATCTTAGATTGAAAATCAATAATACAACTGTAGAAACGTTCTTCCATTAGTAAGTTTATGCTTCCATTATAAATTTAGCCTGTTAACTGTGAAATAAATATTTTTTTAAATCCTCTTATACTTAGGATATATACTCTTTAATATTAGAATTTGGGCAACATAACCTGCATCCATTTGAAAATTTATTTTTCACTGAAATATGAAGGGCAGTTTTATAAAGCACACCTTTTTAAAGGACACGAGTGAAGTACTTAACTTTATTAAAGCAATGGGCCTTTCAATTAGTTTGATAAAAAGGCTGTCAAAATTTAACTTTCTCAGTGTTGAAAGAATAATACTACTAAGGTAGAGAATTTAGCGATTGTTGAAATGACTAAAGCTTCTAGCTACTTTATTTCCTAAGGAAAAAGTAGTATCTCAAACTAACCATTTCACTCACTGTAAACAGTATGTATCCAGTCACATAATTGGTACCTACAGAGCAATGTGGGAGAATGCATGATGAATTGACATCCAACAAAATTGCTTTAAAAGTGGATATTATGACTTTAAATATTTTTCTTGCAAGCCCATTTCTAGCACTACTCCATGTGATAAAAAATGAAACACTGAAATAGCACATTACTACTGTTTTTCTGCCTTATTAGACAAGATAAATTGTGTAATCTTCTTTCATAGCACAAAGTGAGTAGAGAGTCATTTAATTACCTGTGAATCAAAGCAATTTAGGCGACTCTTTCCGATCATTATCACAGAGATTCAAGAAACCGAAATGCTTAATAATCAATAACAATGTCAGCCACAAAACGAAGTTAAGCCCTTGCAATTTTCATGGCATAGTAGGGTTCACTGTTTGGCCAAGTAGGATTCCATTGACTGCAGAAGTCCTCCGCAAGACTCTCTCCTCTGACACAGTTCCTTACTCCCTTGGGTAGTGTTTGATCCTATTTCTACTCTTGCACTTATCACTGCTTAGTTGTTTTTTTTTTATTCTCTATATGTAGTCCATTTTAGTTGGCAAACATTAATAGCACAAGTGCGATTTATTGATATATGCATATTCCTAATACCTAGAAGTATATCTGCCACATTCTGGGGAGCAAAATACGTTTATTTGAAAAATAAGTTTTAAAAACATTTACACTTTCCTCTACAAACCTACTTGCAGTGAACGTACTAGTTATGGGAATTTCCTTATGATTGGGATTCTGAGGACGAGCCTATTAACTTCTTTAGATAGTATGTGCATTATGTTGCATGTATTCTATTTGTGATAAGTAATAACAAATTCTTCTCCCAAAACAGCAACAAACACAAAATCCACGTCAACAGTAAAAGTCCTGTTGAAAATAGAAATGTTGAGAAAAAGGTTTTTATTGTTTTAACAGTCACAGAACATTTTAACTTACTGAAGCATTCAGTGGTCCTATACTTGAAACATAGTCTTATCATGTTTAATCAATTATTCTTGTTTATAAAAAAAATTCATTCAGAGCCACCTTGTTGTGCAAAATATCATTTTGGGAAATGCTACCTTAATTGTATTCTAATGTATGTAGCAATTGGCTCTTTTCTGTTTATTCTTCCAAACATTTATCAACAACCAACACTGTGTTAGGCTATGCAAATAAATAATATCTCTTTACCTTCAGTTACATAACGTGATAGCACATTTGAAACAAAAATGAGAAAATGAGATAGAGAAATGCATGAGTGCTACATAGGCTTCAGCACACTTGATCATTTGAATACGCACTATCCTTGAAGTGCAGTATCTTATCCTTGTGTGCTGAATTCATATTCTGACTTAAAAATCAATTATTTATTAAACTATAATTCAGTCATTTTTATTAAAGTCTATTTCTTAATTATTTGGAGACACTCTAATTTGGTAATTCTAAAACTCTTAGAGCAGTGGTCCCCAACCTTTTTGGCAACAGGGACCAGTTTCGTGGAAGACAATTTTTCCATGGATCCAGAGTGAGAGGGGATGGTTGTGGGATGATTCAAGTGCATTACGTTTATTGCACACTTTATTATTATTATATTATAATATATAATCAACTAATTATACAACTCGCCATAAAATAGAATCAGTGGGAGCCCTGAGTCTGTTTTCCTGCAACTAGATAGTCCCATCTGGGGGTGATGGGAGACAGTAACAGATCATCAGGCATTAGACTCTCATAAAAAATGCAGCAACCTAGATCCCTAGCATGCGTAGTTCACAATAGGGTCCATGCTCCTATGAGAATCTAATGGTGCCACTGATCTGACAGAAGGGGGAGCTTAGGAGGTAGTGTGAGTGATTGGGAGCAGCTGCAAATACAGATGAAGCTTCACTCCCTGGCCTACTGCTCACCTGCTGTTATGTGGCCCAGTTCCTAATGGACATGTACCTGTCTGGTCTGTGGCTTGGAGGTTGGGACCCCTGTGTTAGAAGATGTGTAGAATTTTAGGGAATATACAACCCTTAAAAATCTACTCACATGTATAAATATCCTACTGGGTGGCAAACTTCAGGTTAAAAATTTTTATTTAAGGGATACATTAATATCTCCATTTTTCGTAGAAGAAAATAAAGTTCAGAAAGGCCAAATAATTTTTCCATGGAAATCAGCTAAGTAGAAGGGTAGAATTCAAAGCCAAGCTGGCTAAGCCTTGGTTCAATGTTTATTCCCCCAGACCAGTGGTGCCTCTTCCCTATCATGCTCCTGAGATGGTTTAATTTTTTTCTATTTTTGTTAGAAGACTTTTTCATAGTGCTGTCTTATGTTAATAAGAAATAAATAAGCAACAATTTTAGATTGATTTAATTATTACAATTGTATAGAGGGAGTTTTTTGGTAGAAAAAATGCCTGAGGGATTCAATGCCTTTAGTATTCATTGATTTGGGTTGTGTTTTCATTGATGAGGACATCATTTTGTTTTCCTGGAGTATTTTTTGAATAATAATTTAATCCATACCTTTTGACTCTTAGTTAATGATTTAAATCGAATAGATTCACAGATTATTATCAATATGTTAGCATTGGCTAATATAATTTTCCAGTTTTGCCGCTGCTCTCAACACATCACTTCTGTCCCCTGAACAGAATCAGGCAATTATCTAAAGACTTATTTTCTCCAGCTGCCCTGAACTAAGATCTCCAAAGATGAACAATTAAAATTAGATGGTCTACTGATCTCACGATGATTTTTATTTTCACCTCTTTACTATTTATATGGGATGCTAGAACTAGAATAAAGATAATTCGCGTTATGAGATCAGTATAATGAGTCTTTTAGAAAGCATGTAGATTAATGTTGCATTTTACATTGCTATATGAAAAAGGCCACAGGATGTACAGTGAAATCCCAGTTCTACCCCTACAAAATACCTGTGCTTGAAAACATGTTTAGCTTGCCTAACGCTGTTTTTAAAATCTGTACAAGAAAGATAACAATGCCTATTTCAAAGAGTTTTATTAAGCATGGAAATAAATGCAATAATGATTTTTTTTTTTTTTTTTTTTTTTTTTTTTTTTTTTTTGAGACAGAGTCTCGCTCTGTCGCCTAGGCCGGACTACGGACTGCAGTGGCAATAATGATTTTTGTCTTTATATGTAAGTACTGTAGTTGGCATTTAAAGATGCTAAATAAAGTGCAGTTCCAATAAATATATTAGAAAGTTTTTTCTCCCAAAGATCTTTGATAAAAGATTATTATATATTTAAAAGAGAAAAACTTCATCCAAAGATTCTGTATAGGTTTGTTGGCTAAATCTTCTGAGAACTCACCACATCCTCATAGTGAAAGCATGTTTACATTGTCCTCCACAAATGCTAAGGAGCAGTTACTGGTGTTTTTATACAAGTATGGGCTCAAAAAGAGTGGTTCCTATTTTGGTTTAATTTATAAACCAGTTGATACATAAGTAGTTTCTTGGGGGAAAATATATTACTTACACATTTTCTATGTAGTAAACATGTATATGTATATGTGTGGGTGTGTATCTAACTACTTTGTTGGAGTGATTCCTATGGTTTGGAGCTGCAGGGCCCAAGTTGATGCAAAAATCTACATTTTTGAGTAAACTCCCCATGACTAGAGTAAATTTCTCCAGTATTTGAGAGTTCTTCATTTCCTAAAGCTATACAAACATCAGATATCAAGTAAGGATCAATAATGTAATTTATAATGAAATTGCTTTCCCAGCTATTAATGTTAACTGTATCATCTTCATATAGCCTTATAACTCATTTGTACTATTCCATTTTCCTCTGTTCCTTTTATTTTCACTTCCCTTCTAATGTTAATCTCTTTGTACTGATTTCTGAAGAGTTCATTTATGATTAAAGATATTAACATTTTGTCTAGAATTGCAAATATATTTTTTCTCATTCATTTTACTGTGGTGTTTTACTTTTTAGTTATACAGAAGTTGTATATTGAAATATAATCTTGTTCTGTTTAAAACAAAACAACAAAAACACATACATACACATTTTTTCACTATAAGGAGAAAGTCTAACTTATGTTGGGTTATATTTTGCTAGTGTTTTTGTTTTCTTAGAGAAGCTGATAATTTATTTGTGTTTGCTTTGAGGTTAGAGTTAGCCCACATTGCTGATAACATAGTCAATGGACATTTTAAAATTCACAAATACATTTAAGCTGTGTCTAGAGGTGATTTGAAATATACATTACATTTTGAAATAGTTTATTTTGTCCAGAATTCCAAAGTGTTACAAACTCTCATTTCCAGAAATCTACTCTAAAGACTTGATATAAAATAGGAAAAAAATACAAAAGTTATTCATATACCAATTAATTCCTTCATACAAGATTTAAGTACCTGCCACATTCTAGACCTAAGTCTAAATTCTTGGATGCAATGATAATTGTGAAACCTTTATTCACTTTGAACCTAAGTCAGGAACACAGGCATGCTTCTCACTCTACTTCTTCCTTACGGAATAACAAAACAACTTCACAGTTGAGAAACAAGCTACCTATAGTATGGCTTGCCCCAGTCATGAAACTCTTCCTTAGGTTCCAGAATATTCTCTCACTCTCCACCTAATTACAAACTCTTGAAACCATGAGGGCAAAAAATCTAATTAATATAAACTTTTTTTGGCTCCTTGTGCATCTATTTTGTTTTTGACAATAAAACCCAATTTCCTTTTGTGGAATCACGAAGTAACCTTTAACTATAATCAGGTTGGAATATTAATCAAGGTGTGGTGCTTATGCAAGAAGCTACAAGGGACCCAGTCTAGGCAGACTGATTGTCCTTTCTCCCTGGAATCTAGATTGTGAGCAGAGAAAGCTAAATCAGAAAATGTTTGGAACTCATCTACTTAAGAAATTATGCTATGATGAAATTGTCTATTCGTTTTGCTTCATTTTGTTTAACCTAGACCTGTGGTGGCTATGATTATTGATTTTTACAGAAGTCGGTTTTCTAGACTTTGTGAGTTCTCCTCCTAAATCCTTCCATTGATTCATTTCTGTTTTGTATTACTCAGAGTTGATTACTGTTGCTTGAAAACAAATAATTTCATTGAATATTTTTTATTTCCAGATTTGCTGTCTATTCTTGCACTCTCATTTATTCTTCAGAGATGCATTTTTATTTTTCTTGATGCCTTATGAATAAACCATCACTGTTACCCCCAAACAGATTTAACTTGATATCTCTTTCAGAATTTCTGGCCCAGAGTTCCTTCTTAGTCAGTTCTATGAGCTTCACCTCCTGGCAACAAATACCAAGTCTATACCCAAGTCAGGGAAATCAGTGCTTTGTTCAAAGTCTGGTATTAAATGTATACGAAAAATTTATAAGAGGATATAAGAACAAGATGGCAGAATAAAAATCTCCACTGATCATCCTTCCGAGCCCCCTGCAAGACCACCAAGTTAATGACTATCTACACAGAAAAAAAAAAAAAAAAAAAACAACTTTGTAAGAATAAAAAATCACTGAGCACTCACAGTACCTGGCTTCAACTTTATATTGCTGAAAGAGGCACTGAACAGAACAGTTCTGAATCACCTATGACACCTTCAGGTCATGTTTTCTTGGATGGTGTTAATGCCACTCCCAGCAGCAATGGCATGGTGCTGAAAGCATCTCTGGGTACTCCGGGAAGCAGAACACAGCAATTGTAAGGCATTGAACTCAGTGCTACCCTGTTAGAGCAGAAAGGAAAATCTCAGCTGATGCCTGCCTATGGAAGGAGCATTAAACCAGGCCTATCCAAAAGGGGATTGCCTATCCCAGTGGTTTGAACTTGAGTGCCTGAAAACCTTGCCAGAGAGGGCTAAAGCACTCTGTGTCTCCAAGTAACTTAAAAGACAATCTAAGCCACAGGTACTGCAAATTTTAGGTGAGTCCTAGTTCTAAACTAGACTCAGAGACAGTGGATACATGGCGGGACATGTGACATACTGAAACAACAGCTGGAGGAGACCAGGGAGTGCTGGCATCACCCCTCCCCTAACTCCAAGCTGTACACCTCCAGGATCTAAAAGATATCCTTTCACTTGAGGAGAGGACAGGGAAGAATGTGAAGACTTTGTCTTGCATCTTGGATACCAGCTCAGCCACAGAGGACAGAGCACCTGGTCAGAGTAGTGGGACCCCCATTTCAGGCCCTGGCTCCAAGATAATATTTCTATCCACACCCTGGGCCAGAAGGGAACCTGGTACTTTGAAGGAAAGGACCCAGTGCTGGCAGCATTCATCTGCTCACTGAAGAGCCCTTGGTTCCTGAATACCAGCAGAGATACCCATGTACTACACTGAGGGCCTTAGGTGAGTCCCTGAGACTTGCTGGCTTCAGGTGATACTCAGCACATTAATGGCTATGGTGGCTATGGAAGAAAACTCCTTTTGCTTGAGAAAAGCAGAGGGAAAAGTAAAGGGGACTTTGTCTTGCACCTTAGTTATCAGCACAGCCATAGGGAGTTAGAGTACCAAGCAGGCTCTTGGTGTTCCTAATTCCAAGACTTGACTCTTGGACAGCGTGACTGGACTTTTCCCTGGGCCAGAGGAGAGTCCACTGCTCTGAAGAGTGAGCCTCGGATCAGGCAGCATTTACAAATTGACTTAAGAGACCTTGGACCTTAAGGAGCATCAACTGGGATTCTGGCAGTATTCCTAGAAGCCTGGGTGGCAGTGGCTATGGTATGAGATTCTTCTGTCTTTTAAAAGGGGAAGGAAGAGTGGGAAGGACTGCATCTCATAGTTTGAGTACCCACTCAGCTGTGATACAATAGAACACCAGGTAGACTTCTAAGGTATTTGACACTAGTCCCTGATTCCTGAACAGAATCTCTGGACCCCACTTGGGGACTTCACCAACGTGAAGGGAAGGACACAGCCCTGGCTGGCTTTGCCAGCTGCTGCTTGTAGAACTCCAGGGACTTGAGTGAACATAAGCAGTAGCCAGCGAGTGGTTACAGCAGGACTTGGGTGAGACCTAGTGCTGAGCTTCCTTCAGGTCTGACTCAGTGCAGTCATAGTAGTGGTGACCACAGGGGTGCATGTGTCAATCCACCCCCAGCGTTAGGTGGCTCAGAACAGGAGAGAGAGAGACTCTGTATGTTTGGGAGAAAGCGAGGGAAGAGAACAAGAGTCTCTATCTGGTAATCCAGAGAAGTCTCCTGGATCTGGTCAAAGATCATCAAGGTGCTCACTCTATGAGTCTATAAGAACCACAGAGTTACTGGGTTTGGGGTGCCCCCTAAAGCAGATATAGTTTATATCACAACACCCAACTCATTTCAAATATCTGGAAAGCCTTCCCGAGGATGGCTACAAATAAGCCAGATGATGAAGAATACAATAAATACCTGACTCTTCAATGTCCAAACACCAAAGAACATCTACTAGCATTAACACCATCCAAGAAAACATTATGTCACCAGATGAACTAAATAAGGAACCAGGGACCAATCCTGAAAAAACAGAGATATTTGACCTTTCAGACAGAAAATTCAAAATAGCTGTGTTGAAGAAACTCAAATAAATTCAAAATAATACAAAGAAAGAATTCAGAATTATATTAGATCAATTTAGCAAAGAGATTAAAATATTAAGAGAAATCAAGCAGAAATTATGAAGCTGAAAAATGCAATTGGCATACTGAAGATTACATCAGAGTCCTTTAATGGTAGAATGGATCAAGCAAAAGAAAGAATTTGTGAGCCTGAATACAGGTTATTTGAAAATACACATTCAGGGGAGACAAAAAAAAAAAAAAGTAAAAAACAATGAAGCAAATATACAGGGTCTAGAAAATAGTCCTGATAGGGCCAGTCTGAGTTATTGGCCTTAAAGAAGAGGTAGAGAAGGAGATCGAGGTAGAAAGTTTATTGAAAGGGATCATAACACAGAACTTCCCAAAACTAGAGAAAGATATCAATATGCAAGTACAAAAAGGTTATAGAACACCAAGCAGATTTAACCCAGAGAAGACTACAAGATGTTTAACAATCAGACTCCCAAAGGTCATTGATAAAGGAAGGATCATAAAAGCAGCAAGAGAAAATAAACAAATTACATACAGTGGAGATATAACACATCTGGCAGCAGACTTTTCAGTTGAAACCTTATAGGTCAGGAAAAAATGGTATGACATATTTAAAGTGCTGCAGGAAAATAACTTTTACCCTAGAATAGTGTAACTGGTGATGATATCCTTCAAACATGAGTGAGAAATAAAGACTTTCCAAGACAAATAAAAGATGCTGGATTTCATCAATGCTAGGAGGATATTAATGAGCAATATATAATCACCTGAAGATACAAAACTTTCTGGTAATAGTAAGTACACACACACACACACACAAAAACAGAATATCATGACACTGTAACTGTGCCATGTAAAGTACTCTTACTCTAAGTATTATAGAAAGACTAAATCATAAACTAATCAAAAATAACAACTACAACAACTTTTTCAGTCATGGTCAGTACAATAATACATAAATAGAAACAGAAAGTTAAAAGTTGGGGAACAAAGTTAAGGCATAGAGTTTTTATTAGTTTTCTTTTTGTTTGCTTATTTGTTTATGCAAATAGTGTTAAATTGTTATCAGTTTGAAATAATGGGTGTTATAAGATACTATCTGTAAGCCTCCTGGTAACTTCAAAACAAAAGACACAATGGATACACCAAAAACAAAAAGCAAAAAAACACATCATATCAACAGAGAAAATCACCTTCAGTAGAGGAAAACAGGAAGGAAAGAAGGAAGAGAAGACCATAAAACCAGAAAACAAATAACAAAATGCCAAGAGTAAGTCTTTAATTATCAATAATAATGTTGAATGTAAATGGACTAATATCTCCAATCAGAAGACACAGACTGTCTGAATGGATGAAAAAATAAGACCCATTGATCTGTTACCTTCAAGAAACACACTTTGCCTACAAAGACACACATAGACTAAAAATAAAGGGATGGACAAAGATATTCCATGCCAATGGACACTTAAAAAGAGTAGGGGTCGTTATATTTATAACAGACAAAATAGATTTCAAGGCAAAAAAAATAAGAAGAGATGAAGATGCTCACTATATAACGATAAAGGGGTCAATTCAGCAAAAAGATACAACAATTTAAAATGTACATGCACCCAACACTGAAGCACCCAGATATACAAAGGACATACTATTAGCACTAAAGAGAGAGATTAGCCCTGATACAATAATAGCTGGAGACTTCAATACCCCACATTCAGAATTGGACAGATCTTCTAGACAAAAAAATCAGTAAAGAAACATCAGACTTTATCACACTGTTAGACCAATGGATCTTATCTGACCACAATGGAATAAAACTAGAACTTAATAAAATGAATAACGAGGAACTTTGAAAACTATACAAAGTTTATTTTTACTAAATACCATGGAAATTAAATGATATGCTCCTGAATAATCAGGGGGTCAATGAAGAAATTAAAGAGGAAATTGAAAAATATATTGAAACAAATTATAACGGAAACACAACATACCAAAATCTATAGGATAAAGCAAAAGCAGTACTAAAATGGAAGTTAATAGATATAAGTACCTACATCACAAAGAGGAAAAACTTCAAATAAACATTCTAACACTACATCTTAAAAATCTGGAAAAGCAAGAGCAAATCATACCCAAAATTAGTAGAAGAAAAGAAATAATGAAGATCAAAGCAGAAATAAATGAAGTTGAAATTTAAAAAATACAAAAGATCAGTGAAAAAAAAGTTTTTTTGAAATGTTAAACAAAATTGACAAATGTTTAGCCGAACAAAGAAAAAAAAAAAGAGAGATGATCCAAATAAATAAGATAAAAAGTGAAAAAGGAGACATTTCAACTGATACTGCAGAAATTTAAATGATCATTTGTGGCTGCTATGAGCAACTACGAACCAATAAATTGAAAAATCTAGAGGAAATCAACAAATTCCTAAGTACATTCAACCTACCAAGATTGAAGCAGAAAGAAATTCAAAACCTGGACAGACCAATAACAAGTAACAAGATTGAAGCCATAATAGTCTCCCACTAAAGAAAAGCCTGGGACCAGTGACTTCACTGTTTAATGCTATCAAACATTTAAAGAAGAATTAATACCAATTCTATTCAAACTTTTCCAAAAACTAGAGAAGGGAGGAATATGCCCAAACTCATTCTACAAGGTCAATATTGCCCTAATACCAAAATCAGACAGACACATAAAAAAAGATTTAAAGAAAGGAAACTACAGGCCAATATCTCTGATGAATATGGTTGCAAAAATCCTCAACAAAATAGTATCAAATTGAATAAAACAATACATTAGAAAGATTATCTATCAAAACCAAGTAGAATTTATCCCTGGGATGCAAGGATGGTTCAACATATGCAAATCAAACAACGTGATACACCATATCAACAGAATGAAAGATAAAAACCATATGATCATTTCAATTGATGCCAAAAAAGCATCTGATAAAATTCAACACTCTTTCATGATAAAATCCCTCAAAAAATGGGCATAGAAGAAACACACTTCAACATAATAAAAGTCATATATGACAGACCTACAGCTACAACTAGGATCATACTGAATGGGGATAAACTGAAAGCCTTTCCTCTAAGATGTGGAACACGACAAGGATCCCCACTGTCAACACTTTTATTCAATATAGTACCAGAAGTCCTACCTAAAGCAGTCAGACAAGAGAAAGATATAAAGTATATTCAAGTTGGAAAGGAATAAGTCAAATTAACCTTGTGTACATATGATATATTATATTTGGAAAAGCCTAAAGACTTCACAGGAAAACTATAGAACTATTAAACAATTTAGTAAAGTTGCAGGATACAGAATCAGCATACAAAAATCAGCGGCATTTCTGTATGTCAACAGTGAACAACGTGAAAAAGAAATTAAAAAGTAATCTCCGCCACACACAAAATTAAATACCTAGGAATTAACCAAAAAAGTATAAGACCTACATAATAAAAACTATAAAACACTGATGAAAGAAATAGAAGATGACACCAAAACATGAAAAAAAAGTCTTCTGATCCATGGGATCAGAAGAATAATATTGTTAAAATGTTCATATTACCTAAAGCAATCTAAAAATTCAATTCGATCTCTGTAAAATATCAATGATATTCTTCACAGAAATAGAAAAAAAACTATCAAAATTTATATGGAACCACAGAAAAATGCAGAATACCCAAAACTATCCTAAGCAAAAAGAACCAAACTGGAAGTAATGTAATTACCTGGTTTCAAATGATACTACAGAGCTACAGTAACAAAAACAGCATGGTACTGGCATAAAAACAGACACATAGAGCAATGGAACAGATTTTAGAATCCAGAAACAAATCCACACAGCTACAGTGAACTCATTTTAACAAAGATGCCAAGAACATACACCAGGAAAAGGACAATCTCTATGATAAATGATACAGGGAAAGAAATCTGGGTCCGTATCTATCACCACATACAAAAATAAAATTAAAATTGATTAAAGATTAAAATTAAAATCGATTATATCTGAGACCTCAAACTAAAAAACTACTGCAAGAAAACATTGGGGAAAATCTTCAGGACATTGCTCTGTACAAAGTTTTCTTGAGCAATACCCTACGAGCATAGGCAGCCAAAGCAAAAACAGACAAATGAGATCACAAGTTAAAAGCCTTCTGCACAGCAAAGAATACAGTCAGTCAACAAAATGAAGTAACAACCCACAGAATGGGGGAAAATATTTGTAAACTACCCATCTGACAAGTGATTAATAACCAGGATATATGAGAAACTCCAACTCTATATGAAAAAGTTTTTTAATCTGATTTAAAAAATGGCAAAATATTTGAGTATACATTTCTCAAAAGAAGACATACAAATGGCAAACTGGCATATGAAAACGTACTTAACATCATTGTTTGTCAGAGAAATGCAAATCAAAACTACAATGAGATATCATGACACCCCATTTAAAGTGGCTTATATCCAAAATACAGGCAATAACAAATGCTGTAGAGGATGTGGAGAAAAGTAAATCCTCATACACTCTTGGTGGGAATGTAAACTAATACAACCACTATGGAGAACAATTTGGAATTTCCTCAGAAAACTAAAAACTGAGTTACCATATGATCCAGCAATCCCACAGCTCAGTACATACAAAAAAAAAATTGAAATAGGTATACCAAAGAGATATCTGCATTCTTATGTTTGTTGCAGCACTGTTTACAATAGCTAATATTTTTAAGCAACCTAAGTGTCCATCAACAGATGAATGGATAAAGAAAATGTGGCACATAAACACCATGGAATACTATGCAGCCATAAAAAAGGATGAGTTCATGTCCTTTGCAGGGACATGGATGAAGCTGGAAACCATCATTCTCAGCAGACTAACACAAACACAGAAAACCAAAGACCATATATTCTCACTCATAAGTGAGAGTTGAACAATGAGAACACATGGACATAGGGATGGGAACATCACACACTGGGGCCTTCAGAGGGGTGGGTTCAAGGGGAGGGATAGCATTAGGAGAAATACCTAATATAGATGATGGGTTGATGAGTGCAGCAAACCACCATGGCACATGTATACCTATGTAACAAACCTGCACGTTCTGCACATGTACCCCAGAACATAAAGTATAATAATAATTTAAAAAAGAATGTGTGGTACATATACACAAGGGGGTACTATTCAATCATAAAAAAGAATGAGATACAGTCATTTGCAACAACAAGGATGGAACCAGATATCATTATGTTAAGTGAAACAGGCCAGGCACAGAAAGACAAGCATTGCATGTTTTCACTTCTGTGTGGGATGTAAAAATCAAAACAATTGAACTCTTGGACATAAAGAATAGAAGGATGGTTACCAGCAGTCTGGAGGAGAAGTAGGGATGGTAAATGGGTACTAAATAATAGAAAGAATGAAAAAAAACTACTATTTGTTAGCACAATAGAGTGACTATAGTCAATAATAACTTTATTGTAAATTTTTGAATAACCTGAAGAATGTAAGTGGACTGTTCATAACTCAAAGCATAAATTATTGAGGGGATGGATAATCTGCTCCCCATGATGGGCTTATTTCACATTGCATACCCCTATCAAAACATCTCATGTACTCCATAAATATATACACCTACTGTATACCCACAAAAATTAAAAATTAAAAGAAAAAATAATAAAATGTAAAAACAAGGATATAATAAATCTATTCACAGAAGAAAAACATGCATCTTTCATAAAAGTCAAAATGAATTTCAGTATCATCTTCTGCCTCTCCTCATGACCCTGCACTTAGCATTCTGCTCTTACCAATCATCATCCCCAAGTAAATTGTTTCACTTGTGACTCCATGCACTTGCAACATCATTCTTTCAGCCAGAATATACATCTCTCTTTTCAATCTCTGTCTACAAATTCCACTACATATATATATATATATATATATATATATAGTGGAGATATATATATATAAAAATATAGTGGATATATATATATAGTGGATATATATATGTATATATATCACACATGATAAATATATAACAATTTATGGGATTCTTTACTATTTTCCAGGCACTGTGCTAGATTTATATGGATTATCACATTTAAACCTCATAAAAAATACTGTAACATATAAAACTTACTTTACAGATGAGGAAACTGGCTTTGTGACACTATGGGGTGGAGAAGTAGTAGAAATTGGATTTTGAGTTGAAGCAGATGTAGCCTACAGATTGTGCTCCTAATAACTACCAATAGCTGTTTTTTTCATGCTGTCAGTGGTTACTTATTTATGTGTCTACGTCTATGAAAATTATAATTACATTTATACTGTATTTAATTGTGCATATAATGTTTTCATTAAGACTTTGAGTAGATAAGTATCTTCTCCAGCAAAACTTACCTGTCCTTATTAATATTTTTCAATTATTTTCTCATGAGCAGAGCAAGTGTATCATACCTTGTTTAGTCATACTTAGCTTTTTATATCTCCGCCTTTAACATTAAACTTTAAGCTTTTTAAAAGTAGACAATCAGAACAGAAAACCAAACACTGCATGTTCTCACTCATAAGTGGGAGTTGAACAATGAGAACACATGGACACAGGGGAGGGGAACATCACACACCTGGGCCTATTGGGGGGGTGGAGGGCTAGGGAAGGGATAGCATTAGGAGAAATACTTAACGTAGATGACGGGTTGATGGGTGCAGCAAACCACCATGGCAAGTGTATACCTATGTAACAAATGTGCACTTTCTGCACATGTACCTCAGAACTTAAAGTATATTTTTTTAAAAAAGTTGAGACTTAGTTATGGCAGGAAAGATGTAGGATACATAGTAAGAGGCATGAGCACCCAAGACAGATATGTTTGGGAACATACTTCTACTTGCTACTGGTGTAACTTGAAAACAAAGGCTTCTCTCTAACAGTTTTCTCATCTGTGAAATGAGGATTACAATATTTACAATGCAGAGTGTTAAAGAGTGTCTTGCCCACAGCAGGCTCTGAGTCATTGTTTGTTGAATCAATGTTATTTAAAAATTCAATATAGACTGCTAATCAATTTTAACTTACACTCATTTCCTATCTCTTTAAGATCTTGCAGAACGTTTACTGTTTAAGATCTTGCAGAATATAACATTATGTATTTTTATATTGTGCAAACTAATGATAATGCAATGTCTCATCTTCTAACATGCAGCAAAGGTAACATATAAAATACTTTAATGCCTACATGTGAATTAATGGAAAGGAATGAATTAATCCTCAGTGTAAATATATATATATAGGATTACAACCATTCATTTATTCTTAAAAATATTTTGGCTTGTGAACCATAGCTTTATGTTTTTCACTGGAAAGTTGTAAAAAAATTTAATCTTTTTTTGCACTACACTTCTGCGACTTTCCACCTATTTGCCCCTCTTTCAGATATAAAGCTGCTGCATCATCTTGTGTGGTTAAAGTGTGACCAAATGTCATTTAGCAAGGAGAGAGGTGAAGTGACATGAAGCATGAAATTTAAAAATGAATGTCACACCACTTTTCTTATTGAATTCTTAGCATTAATTCACATTGCAAGCAACTCAATGCAAATATTTTGTTGCAAAAGGAAAGAAAGTAAGGGACTTTCTAATATTTACTGCAGTTCTGGAAAAACTTGAAAAAATTGTTTTTGAAAAAATTACACACAGGCAGTTAGCTATTAACTGGAATTCAATGTCTGGCAATTCTGTTTTATACACACACACACACACACACACACACACACACATCTCAGCCAATTATATCCATGTTATTAATTTAGGGCACTGAGAAATATCTGACACCACACAGAAGTATGTATGTGATTCAGATTGATTTCTGATGGGATCTCCTAAGGCTACAGGTTGGTCCTTTAATTCTGCCGCTATTTTATCTACTTCCTCCTGCAGCAAAATATCTGCTTTCTGCTTGCTTTATGTCCACATTATTTATTACTTTACTTTAGAAGAGTAATCAATCTAAACCAATTGAAGGCAAAAGAAACTAAAATATGTTTGTAACATCTTGGTCAGACTGGGAAGAGATTTCTGGAGATATTTCCAAAATAGATATTCATAAAATCATTTTTCAACAATTCACACACTTTCGAATGTGAGTTTAGTAGAAAAGTGTACATAATGCTCATTGTTCCAATCTCAATTATGAGTTTATTTTTAAGCTCCTTGGCTTATACAATGAAATCCTATCTTTAATCCCATACTTGCAAAACAAGTTGGCCTCTTGTAGGAAAGACTTAGTGTGTCTATTTCTACATTCTCTTCCTCTCAAGTATGAACATTTTAGACATCTCTCACAATTTAAGAGTTACGTGAATCATAACTTCAATCCACCCATTATGCCATCTAGGCATAACCATTTAATCAAAGGGTTCAACAAGGGCACTAGGTATCAAAGGTTTGTCTTTGAAGGAGCATATGCAATGGGATGTTTAAATTTTTCTTTGCTTGTTAACACCCAGACTCACTTCCTCAAAGCTATAAATCAAGTTCTCAAATGCCCTTCAAAATGTTGGATAAAAAGAATGAAAGCAACACTTTAGTCCCCATTGCAATTCACAGTTAGACAGTAAAACATAGGATTTGTGGCCAGGCAAACTTTTGATTTTTTGAGTTTCAGATCAAACTCAGTGCTTTCTGCTTTACTTTGGGCATCATTCAAACCAAAGCTTTGTGGCTTTTAGACCTTGTAAAGCACCAGGTAAAGAATCAAAAGATAAAAAAATTCAGTGCAAATCAGATTGGTACATGCATTTTAAAGGAATATACTCCTGTATATCAAAAGGATATAATGTAAAGTTGCTTGTTTCTTTTGTTTTTGTAAGAAAAAACACAATTTTTCTTTTACAATTGTAACTTACTATTTGTTTGCTAAGACATAGTTTTGATATGAAGAAATTTACAACAAGAAAATTGAATTGGTAAGTTTCTGTAAAGAAAAAAGTGACCATAAGTTAACTTTGTAAAAGTTCCTTCCAATTCTATATAGCTTACGAACTTTTCTATGTATTTGATGAACTGTTTTCCTTAGATTTAAATAACTATAAAATTAAGATTAAAAATTATATTTTAATTTGCATAAAAAATAGTATGGTTTTGTTTATGTTTTTTAGTTAACTCAATTTATTCTTTAGCAGGCACCATGCATTATAGAAGTGTGATATTTTTAATAAATTTGTACTAAAATATGCACTGGGCTCTTTAAAATGATGTTATTTTAATGTATTCCAATAAGTTATCAAATTCGAGTTATTTTACTTCCAAATAAAGAAGCTTTTCTACAAAGTGTGCACAGAAAAGTACAGCTTTCATTTACTTTTCTCAAAAATAGGAAAGTATTCTAATCTAATGTGCCTAGAAAGAATATTCATAACCATTTCATTGAAGCTAGCTATATCTTATACCAACTTTAAGACAAATTAAATATTCAGACAAGAGTAGAATAAAACAACAGTATTCACTGCAGAAGAGTTGAATTTTACAGAGTAGTTCTATAGCTTTGGAAAAATATTGACATAAACTGAGATAATTGAGTGATATTTAACTATACAACTATAATACATTTGACTCAAAACAATACACCTCTATGTGTATTCTTTTGTTTAATGGAAGCATAAGATATATTTTTAGCATGTCCTTTGTTTCAAGATTATCAAGGTGTGTATTATACATTCCATTTGTTTCAGTCGGTGTTGGATATATACAGACAAGATACAAAGCTAATCTATTACCTTACCATGGATAGTGTAAAAAGATATTAGACTTATGGGTCAGAGGCAAAGGATTGTAATATTTATGGCAAAAGCAGTAGGCCAAATGTCAGCATGACGCTCATACTGCTTCCCCACTTCCCCATGTCCCTTGAGTTCCATAAGGGTAGTACAGTGCCTATGATGGATACCAGCACATGCAATGGGTTGTACTAACACAAAGAAACACTGATGTTGCAAGATTCATCATGTTTATAGTAAATGAAAGGATGCTTGTGCTTTGTCCAGGGAGAGATGCTCCCTTATCCCTCATGGTTGCTCCCTGCAAATATAACCCTAAGAAATGGCCAGGTAAAAAGCAGTCAGAGTCTTGCTTTTTTTTTTTTTTTTTTTTTTTTTTTTTGCATACCCACCAATATTCTATGTTCATGACATCCACTCTGCAGATAAATTCAAGTCATCTTTCTTATCACTACTAAAACAATGGTTCTAAAATCCAAATATCACTCTACCAGGAATATTCACTCCATGTATTTTGTTACTTCAAAATCACTACCGCATAACTATGGGAAAAAAAATCTACGAAAAGAAATTCAAGAATTAACTTCTCAGGAAAAAAATGGCCTTATACTCTAACAATGAATTTGGTGCTGAATCTTTGTTTCATGGGTTGTTTCATTAGAAGAGGTGCATATCTTTCTTAGACCTTATTTTATCATTTTAGAGTAGTGGTATAATGTTCTGAGTCTCTCACTAAACAAGGAGTTTTTTTTTTTTAATGCTATGTGCAATGAACATTTATTCAATGATTAGTAACTAACTGCAAGGCAGCATGCTAAAACTATGCATGGATTGCCTCATTTAATCTTCATAAATTCCTATGAGGTAGATAATGTTATTATGAGAATTTTACAGATGAGGAAAGCAAGGGTCACAGAGATTAAACAACTTGATGAAGGTCTCTTAGATAGATGGTAATGAAGTCAAAATTTAAACTTAAGGTAGCTCCAGAGCCAGTTTTCTTGACAACTACATTATACTCTCTCCTTTAGAGTACAAGAACCATTTCTCTGTTTTTGTATCTTCAACATCTAGCACAATGCCAGAATAGTAATGGATATTTTATTAATATCACAGGATAAATACATGAATAAATAAATGAAGAGTTAATTAATGTATAACATTTTATCAGAATCCAAGCAAGAGTCTGAAATTCAAAAAATAATAAATACTGTATTTGAATCAAAACATTCATTCATAAAAGGGAAAATATAATATTTTTAAATTTGGGAGTATTGCCTTATAGATTATCAAGATTTGAAAGATTGCTGTTTCAATAAATATAAATGTCTTATGTTAAATAGATAAAATTCAAAATATAGCCATACAAAAAATGAGTGTGCAAAATTCCCTTTGCTTCTTCCCCCCAATATTTAGCAATCTCAGAGATGATGACCATAAGCGCCTAACAAAATACATCATCAGATTCCGCATCTGTAAAATGAGGATGATGAGCTATACAATCTCAAAGGTCTCTTCTACTCATCATTTATAATCCTCTACTTAATTTATGTCATATGTTTTACTAGTGAACAGCATGTTTTCTTTTAGTTCCAGACTAATTTCCTTCTTTCTGTAAGTCTATAGACCAATGCTAATTGTCATGTCTAATCTATAGGCCAATTTGTAAGGAAGAAGAATCCATTGAGGACTTTGCAAAACATCCATAATCTGAAGAGGGTAGAGTGAGATACCTGCTGTGCCTGCACTGAAACAGCTGTTTCAAGAACCTTAAGCATCTGGGGAAGTCATCCAGAGAAAGGCCATCCACTGTGCTTTTGATCTCTCCACTTCAGGCACTGAAGCACTGCCTGCCCATATGCTTGGTGAGTCTCGCCTGTTAGACCCACGCCTAGGGCTAGCTTTTTCCCTTGTTTCTGCCCAGGAAATGGCACTACAGTGTTTCTAAAGTATAAGTGAAATAAAATTTCATTATGTTGGAGTTCTGTATAAAACCAAGGTTAGATAATATTACATTAATTAGGCTGAGTAACTTGGCATTATGTTTTATAAGTGAACAGAATAAAAAATAAAATAGAAGTAATGGAAAAAGTTTAAAAACAAGTGTGCAGAACTGGATGGTTTTTAAAATTCTTCCCAAATATTGTTTCTTTAATTCCAGTAAGAGTCCGCTGAGTATACCCATAACTACTTGCATTTTATAGATGAAGAAACTGATTATCAGAAAGTTGCTTAGGAGCCTATAATTAGTAAATCCAAATCTCTTGTTACAAATGTCTTACCATTTTCCCCAATTGCACAACATTTTAACATGCCCCAGGAGAATACATGTACCCAAGACATATTTCACTTTCTAAAATAAAATGTATACATATACTGAAGGCAAATATTTTAATGAAATAATGAATTTGCATGGGTTGTCATTTAAAAGACAATTTTATGTAACATTTCTAAGTGTCCAAAGTTTTCTCCCAGAAGATACAATTTTATCGTTTTATTCTCTATCGGTGAAAATAGTTAATTAAGAATATGTTGAGCACTGATGATGCATACTGAACAAGAATTATTTGATTCATACAAAAATTACACTTAAAATTTTTTTTCTACTTGTATTAGTTCATTCTCACACTGGTATAAAGAACTACCTGAGACTGGGTAATTTATGAAGAAAAGAACTTAATTGACTCATAATTCCAAGGCTTAACTGAAGCATGTCTTGGAGGCCTCAGGAAACTTACAATCGTGGCAGAAAGTGAAGCGGAAGAGTATCAGAGCAGGAGAGAGAGGAAGAGCGACGTGGATGTTGGGGGGTGGGGGGAGCGGCGCGTGCCACATACTTTTTTTTTTTTTTTTTTTTTTTTTTTTTTTTTTTTTGAGACGGAGTCTCACTCTATCGACCAGGCTGGAGTGCAGTGGCGCGATCTCGGCTCACTGCAAGTTCCGCCTCCCGAGTTCACGCCATTCTCCTGCCTCAGCCTCCCGAGTAGCTGGGACTACAGGTGCCCGCCACCCCGCCCGGCTATTTTTTTTTATTTTTTTTTTTTGTATTTTTAGTAGAGACGGGGTTTCACGGTGTTAGCCAGGATGGTCTCGATCTCCTGACCTTGTGATCCGCCCACCTCGGCCTCCCAAAGTGCTGGGATTACAGGCTTGAGCCACCGCGCCCGGCCCGCCACATACTTTTAAACCATCAGATCTCACTATTATGAGAACAGCATGGGGGAAATCCACCCATATGATCCAGTCACCTCCCAACAGGTTCCTCCCCCAACATTGGGAATTACAATTCAACATGAGATCTGGGTGGAGACACAAACCCAAACCATATCACTACTTTTCAAAGATTGTCACAATTGTAGTGCAGTTCAAACTGGATATATGATTTATGCACATTAAAAATCAAGTTACACGTTAGATAATTATTTGGGTCCTTTATCTATGTTAAAGGTTTATTACATCTAGAGAATTATCAACAACAATACTATTTTCAAAATACTATTACCAGGAATACTATTTTCAAAATTCTGTTGTGGAATAAAATTTATACTATGTGAAAGCTCGATAATACTTGCTTGCCTCTTGTATCTTCTAGGAAAATGTTTATATATTAATATGAAAATCATATTGTATATAAAATATGGTAAAAAGTTTCACCATGGCAATGGATATTAGCTGAATACTTGATTTTTAACAGAATCTTATACTTGAATCATTTCGGACATACTTGGTATTAACAAACCAGAATCTCAATGAAAACTGCTTAAGAGAAGAGGAAATCTATTTTCTCAAATTTTAAATCCTGAGTAGATGATGCTTTAGTGTTTGTTTGTTTGGTTTTTTTTTCAACTTGTAAAAAGTGTCAACAAGTGCCTGATGTTTTTCAGTCTCTCTGCTCTTCCATCTGTAATTCTGACCTTAATCAAAGGCTGGCTTCTCTTCCATTTGCAGAACAAGCCATCAGGGAATCCATGCTTGTCTACCTCTGTGGCTGGGTTCTGGGGAGGTGGGCAGTGTTGGGAAGGAAAGCAGACATTTCTCCCTAAACCTATGAAAAAGTCTAGGATATCACTCTATCAGGACTAACTCATTTTTTTATTCCCATCTTTGTCTGAAACCACTGATTGCTTACCTTAGTCTTCTTTTGTTCACTAATTCTATCTCAGATAAATAAAAAGCAGCATTTCCCAGATTTTACAGGCATATGACCACTGAGTTGCAAATAGAAGGTATTGGCTGGCTCCAAAATGTCATCAAAAGTGAAAAACTCCCTGACATGCATATTTTGCCCTTTGCACTTTCTTTTGTTCCTGGATGGAAGGTGGGGATGGTGCTAGATGTCGAGCTGCCAATCTAGGATTTTGAGGACACAAGTGTGAAAAATACTTTTTGGTAAGAATGGCTGAGGAAGGAAGAACAAGCTTACTATTATGATGAATTATAGAGCTGTTGTACCAGTACCAGAATGCCTAGCTCTACTCTTGTTACATGATGAAAAAACTGGTATTTGTTTATATTACTATTATTTGTGTTCTCAGTTATGTGCAGCTGAATGCACTACCTGACAAGTTTTCTTTTTGTCTTTTTTTTTTTTTTTAAACGGAGTCTCGCTTTGTCACCCAGGCTGCAGTGTAGCTGTGCGATCTTGGCTTACAGCAACCTCCGCCTCCCGGGTTCAAGCGATTCTTCTGCCTCAGCCTCCTGAGTAGCTGGCACTACAGGCGCATGCCACTATGCCTGGCTAATTTTTGTGTTTTTAGTAGAGATGGGGGTTTCACCATATTGGCCAGGCTGGTTTCGAACTCCTGACCTCGTGATCCTCCTGCCTCAGCCTCCCAAAGTGCTGGGATTACAGGCATGAGTCACCGTGCCAGGCCAGAGCAGGTGCACGGCCACCAGCAGGCGGCTCAAGCAGGAGCAGGGCCTGCTAACTGGGTCACCAGTAGACCAGAACCCACACGCATCCAGAGGCCCAACTTCTCCGGTGACCTGACGGTGTTTTCTTTGAATAGGTCACCCTATCCAGGGAGAATGACGGAAACTGGTTGGCTTTTGTTTGTTCTGCTGCTTATCATTGTGGTAATTTGCTTATATAGATACGTTTTAAAATTAGGCCAATCATGACCCACATAACAAAGACAATACAAATGCTAGAAAATGGGAGAAATCCAGATTCTATTAGAAAACAGGAACGACAGATATGATGAGATCTGCCGGCACTGGGAAGGCGATGTCCTGGGTTACAAGTCTGTGGCTCAGATCGCCAAGCTCGAAAAGGCAAAGGCTAAAGAACTTGGCACTAAACTCGGTTAAATGTATACTATTGAGTTTTCTGTACATAAAAATAATTGAAATAATACAAATTTTCCTTAAAAAAAAGAAAAAGAAATAATGGGTAGTGCCTCAAAAATGTCCATTATAATGCCCATGTAAGGTAATTTATTTAACTGATTTTTATTTTTTTTAGTTTAATTATTATATTAATAATATTTTATTATTAAAAATAAACTATTTTAAAATTACTGTTTATGTTTATTATTATTGTAAAAATGTGTGAAACTTCTTCATTGATAAATCATTATAAGAGTTTATGTTGGGAGACTGAAGTTGAAAGATTACTTGAGCCCAGGAGTTGGAGGCTGCTGTGTGCTGTGGCTGGGCTTATGAATAGTCACTGAACCCTAGCTGGGGCAATATAATGAGACCTCATCTCAAAAAAAAGAAAAAAAAGAGTTTCTGGTTTTTTTTGTTTTTTTAAAAATAAGTTGCTAGAAAGGGAATCACTAGCATAAATTGAATGCTATTAAAGATTAATATAGTTTGCCAAATTAATTTTCATAATGTCCGTTTCAATTTGAATTCCTAAGCGTAAGTGTATAAGAATGCTGATTCTGCAGGAGGATCACTTGAGCCCAGAAGTGCAAGGCCACAGTGAGCTATGATTGTGACACTGCACTACAGCCTAAGTGACAGAGCAAGACCCTGTCTCTAAAAAGGACAAAGAATACTTATTGAAAGCACACTTAACATTATCACCATTTATTTCTGTCATAATATTTTGCCTAATTGCATATACAAAAAAAATATTATTTTAATTTCTTTGATTTAAACAAATATTTTAAATTTTATCTCCTTCTTGTGAACAATCAGTTTACTTCCTTAATTCATTTTCTAAGGATTTCATTGTCTTTGTCTAAGGATTTCCTTTGTCTTTTTTATATATGCCAGATGTTTTCCCAGTTCCTTAACTTTATTTTAAAATTTGCTTCTACTATTCTAAATTACAAGATTTCAGTTTTGGTATAGTCCAAGCTTGTGAAGCATCTTTTGTTGTTTCTTACATAGCTTTTATATTTTTAAATTATAAGTCACTAAATATTTCTATTTTCTTCTACTAAGGTATTTTTTGAAAAATAGTCCATTTCTGGTTTGCTTATTGTCTCTCTGAGTACTTGATTTATCTTCAACTAATTAAAAAAAATTTATTAACATAATCAACCTAAAGGAACTATAGAAAATATTTTTCCACCATATTTAGGAAGATGTGTATTAAATTTTAATATTCCCTGCTTTCTAAGTAATATGAAATATAAATTTCCAAGTCCTCATTTAGCTCAATTGAATTTTACATTATGATGTTTTAAATCGTAATTAGTTTATATAAATTAATAAAGCATTTTATTCATTCCTCATGACACCTATTTTTGTTTCAGATCTATAGGTCTGAGAGCATATGTTTATTATTAAATTACTGGTTTATATTGTGGTCAAGTTATATTCCTCTATTTGGAATAATATTTTATAATTTGGTAAAAATTTCTTTGCAACCCAAAAGAAATATTGTTTGTAAATGTTGCGTGCAACTTTGAAAAAAATGTTTATTCTTAGTATCTTTTGAGGCATCGATAGATATCCAGACTGATATCTCTTAGATCAGTTCATAAATTGTGTTGGTTAAGTTTTCCATAATATTGAATGTTTACCTAGTAGATCTATTATTTTCTAGGATTTAAAATTTTCCTTATAATTTTGGTTTTATTTCATTTTGTTTTGATAGAAAACCATTTGATAGAAAATGTTTTTTTATTAAAAACTACCCTTGTGTTGACAGCTAATGTGAGACATTGACCGCGGTTCTTATCTTCTTAGTTTAAAAATCACACTTGGAGAAGAAAAAAAAAAGAATTTAAGCAAGAGACACGCAGCAAAGGAGATGCAGCACAGAGTAATTTATTGCAAAAGCAAACTAATACTTTGAAAATTAACTGCAGAATAGACAGTACACCCTGAGAGAGGGAGAAGGATTCAGGGCAGACTGCTCCTAAGGATGAAACAGCAAAGATTTGAACTAGGGAGACTTCCTTTATGGGAGTCTCAGTTGATTATTCATAAGGGGGTGAAAAGGGGTGTTACTAGTAAGCACGTTCTGTGTGGTCCTCTGGGTGGCACATGCGCAGTAGCTGTACATATTTGTTCAGCCATCACACGTCTCATTTAAATCACAAATCTCCACCCAGGGGTGCTTTTTTTTTTTTTTTCTATCATAGTAAGCAAAGTGTCAGTCTGAGGACAGGTAAAATCAAAATGTGCAGGCTGTCTACAGGGGAAATTCCCTACTGAAGATAGCTTTGCTTGAATGAGCTTAACTGCAATGTGAATGCTGGGGTTTATTGTGTTAACTGTATGGACATTACGGTTGCTGGGTCCAGAGAACATGGTTACTTCCTTAACCCCTAGACTGTCTCCCTTGTAGGTAATGTCATATTACAGGAGAGCAGGAGAAGATAAAATGCTATTTTTTTGGTAAAATTTTTATTCAATTCCTCTTTCAAAACTGTGCTCACATAACATCTCTTCACATCTTTCATTGTGTTCATAACACATCAAAACTCTCACCAATATTATTTAAGACCTTAATTCTGAGAAGTTTACTTCTGAGACTCTCATGAAAGAATGCTCTCTTATTGGTGGACTTTGCTTATTAATATCAGGAATAACAAGGTGTATTTTGGTATAGCATCTGGTTCAGGTAAACCTGATTATAAATGCATATTCTCATAAACAAATATACATACATTAAATATTGATTTAATATTTTCAAACCCAGTTATTTATCTTAGGTTTACCCCAAATATATGTTAAAAATTTGACTTGGTTTCTTAAATATTCAAATTAGTTACACATATTTATTTTAATCAGTCTGACTCATAGGCCAATTACCAATGACAAACAGATGGAAGGCTTAGATTTAAGTCAATAGGCAATTTATTACTTTTACTATGAGGATTATACTATTCCTTTTTGAAGGACTGGAACACTCATGTTTAGCATTCTTGGCATCCCAGCCTAGTATAAATGTGCAAGGGGCTGAATTCTAATCAGAAGATTTCATGAGGCGCACACACACAGCGATTAGGTTTTAACTTTTTCTAAGCTTAATGATTGTTTTTTCCCTGTGAGAATGCTCTGGTCACCTTGATTAGATTTGAGGGATATCCGCATATAGAGATGGTTCCTTTGGATGAAATATGCCCAGCATAGCCGCTCTCAACTATTATATCTTGATTTTTTCCATGTTTTCCATTCAGTGGCTAATCTTTTATAGAAATTAAAGGGACACATCTTTCTAACTTGGTCTCAAAATTCTCACTTATCGATAAGTTTTAAGTCTTGCTTATGTCCTTGAGCTGCTATGAATAAATCAGAACCATGTGCAATGTTTTTTGACCTGCAACTGTCCTTTAATAAGCAGTTGTACACAATTACATGCTTTTAATATAGATTTTTAGTTTACAACCCTGTTAAAACATATAAAGGCATTACTGATTAAATGAAAGTAGAAAACACATTTAATATATACATTTTAAATTCTAAATTATAAAAATGGTGGGTTCCTTGATCATAATTTTATACCCAATATTATATAATTCTATGTTTGTGATTGTATAATTTTATAATTCTAAATAGTAGCCTTGTGAATCTTCAAGACTTAAATATTTTATGTATAGGAACTTCTTTTATTCTTATGTTATTTTACAGAAAAAAAAACAAGTCAGAGAGAAATAAAATGACTGGCCTAGGTCATAAATCTAGTAAAAAATGGATCAAGGATTCAAATCTGAGCAGTCTTGTTCCAGTGTCCTCTGTGTTATCCTGGAACTTGTGGTAATACATAGTAAAAAACAAGAAACTGAACTACATGTATTACCCACGAAGAGGAAGAGAACTTTATCTTATAGATATAGGAATCTAAGGAAAATAAAATATATTGTCCTGGGAGTAGAATGGTAGCACACTAGGCAAGGGCAGTGTTTTTACAAAATAAACATAAAATTAAAATTTAATAGTCTATTTCTTTCTACTACTTATTAGTATAGCATAATTTTTCTCTTATTTATTGAAAAATATAGATAAATCTGTTTGTAAGAATTCCCACAATTACTTCTATCATTGAATATTTTTTCCTGGAAGCTTTAAACAATACTCAAGAAAAAACCTAATAAGACAAACAGCTATTTGAAATAAAGAGGGAAACTATCACTATTATTTTCAGAAGTTATTATGTTAAAAAAATCTCTCTTCCAAGAAATTCAATTAAAACACTGTTTGAATAAAAAAAAACCTCACTTGAAAATAAAGTGGGAATACTTCCACTTATAGTAGCAACAGAAAATATAAAATACCTATTAATAAATTGTTTTAAATGAAGATTTCAAAAAACATTATAATTTTTTCTTAGAAAATAAAGTAGACAGATAACTGGATATGTGTACCTAATAATAGATCGTATGTCTCTGTTAGTCACTAAGCATATATTTACTGAGTAATCAGTACATGGCAGGTACTCTACTGATAAAATGTGTGAGCCAAAACATTGTCTGCACACAACTTACAGTTGAGCTGTAGAAAGAGATTAGTAATGTGCCATTCTAAAAGTTATTATATAATAGAAGAGTGTAACTAAGTGAGGAAGATCATAAAAATTATCCCAAGAGAGAAACAAGATACCTCAGGTCTAAAGTTGAAGAGGTTCCCAGCTGCAGATTGGGAGTGGTAAAGTGTTCTAGGCAGAGGAACCCTGCTGATAAAGACCCTGACTGTGCTGGAAAATTAGCACTTGTAAGTGAAAAAATCCCGTGGAGTTAAAATACAGTAAGCAAATGGAAGTACACTACAATGTGAAACTGTGATGGTGGGTACATGCCAGATAATATTAGTACTCGTCAGATATGTTAAAGATGTATTCCTGAGAGCCAAAGGAGGCCATTATAGCATTTTGGGTGGGGATGGGATAAGGATTCAGGGAAGTCAGAAAAAAATCAGACAAGAAAGGAGATCCAAAACGTGCAGTCAGAGATGATACTCAGGTTTCTAGCTAGAATAGTGTCATTTAGTGAGATAGAAATACTGGAAAAACAACAACAACAACAACAACAAAACTCTCTCTCTCCATCTATCTATCTGCCCTCATTGGAGTTTAGTGTGTGATATAGTTGCAATTTTCAGTGGTGAGGAAAGACATAATTATTCAATGAGTGGTGATACGACAGATGTCTAACTGTGGGGAAATTTTAAAATAGACCATAATTTCAAAACTTTTAACAAGATGAATTTAAAATATATTAAATATTTAAATATCCTCAAACATTAAAATTTATTAAGAAAGTTATGATAATTTACCAAATAAAAGTTAAAATATTATTGAATTAGGAAATATTCTGGTTATTAAGGTATTGATCTCATCTTCAAACTGACCCTCCTGTGCCGGGCTTTTTGAGGCTGGGGTTGGAACTTTGCAAAACTCTCTTCTTTGATAGCTGGTTCCTGTTATTCTTCCAGTAGGAGTTCTTCCAATAGAAGGAAGCTGTCTGAGGAAAAAGGACATGCTACATCTATCTGATTCCTATTCCTGTCACAATCACCACAACACCACTTCACCCTGGAAGCAGTAGAGCTGATTGGAGGAGCAGCAGCTGATTCCAGTTTGCAGTCTTTCCACATACATGGAAGTCATATTCTGGCATCTCGCAGGTAGCACTAGAAAGCATCGCTCCTTAGAGAGCTGAGTCTCAGATTCACAGGATTCCTCCTCCAAACTTGTCAATTTGAATAATTCCAACCTGGTCTTTTTGTACTCCAGTCTTACAGGTGGCAGCTGCTTCTTTCTGTGATAGCCTAGTGCCTCCTTTTTGTCTTTCTAGTTCTCTAAGACCCAGTTTACAATTTTTAAATCAAAACTCTGTTCAATAATCTGATGAAGTTTCTATATTTTGACTAGAGCGACTGATAAAGAAGTGTTTTTAACTGTGATAACCATTAAAGAAACATTAAAATAATTACAGATTTGTTGTTGATGCTTGTTAGAAAACTGTCCAATGTTCTACAGGAACTTAATCTTTGTCAAGCACTTCTCTAAGTGATGGGAGTGAAAAAGGCAGGTGGATCATTGACCTTAGTAGCTTACATGACAATAGGGATGGAGTGTGAGAGTTAAGTTCTAAACACATAAGCAAGTCCCTGTTGATAAGTGCTTTGATAAAGACGTAAATGAGTGATATACTAGAGTTGCAACTAGTATCAATAGAGTTGATGTTATTAAAATAACAGAAAGAAAAATCTGCGTTCCTGCGTGGGCGGGAGCGGGGGCGGGGGGAGGGGGCGGGAAGAAGGAGGAGTAGGAGAGGAGGAAAGTGGAAAGAAATAAGATTAGAGAAAGCTGAAATCAGATCATGTAGGTTATTTTAGTCCTGAAAAGATGTTTTTATTATACTCTAGTTACACTGAGAGCACTGTGGAGTTTATGCTGCAAATGATATGATCTTATTTATTTATTTAAAAGGTAAGTCTGCCTGCAGCGTAATGTCGGTCCTGATGGCCAGTATTAGGGCAGGGATGGAGCCAACAGGACAGTCAGAACAGTTAAGTTCCTGGAATAGCTCAAAGATGATGGTGACATTTATTAAGGGAGCATACATTTATTCACTGAAAATTTGTATGTACTAACTAAACACCAAGGTTTATGTACAAGAATGTTCACAGAAGCATATTTTAAATTGAAGGAGGGGGCCTAATATTTGAAAATAAAACATTGAAGCGTCGGACGCGGTGGCTCACGCCTGTAATCCCAGAACTTTGTGGGTCCAAGGCAGGTGGATCATTTGAGGTCAGGAGTTCAAGACTAGTCTGGCCAACATGGTGAGGCCTTGTCTCTACTTAAAAAAAAAAAAAAAAAAAAAAGAAAATGTGGAAAACGAAATTATGGTACAACAATAGTGCATAACATTGAACACTTATTAAAATAAATTTAGATAAATCTGACTTATAGAAAATATATTTATGGTCTACATAAAATATAATTACTACAATATGTCTATATGTGTACATAATCCTAGAAAACTGCTGGTTGCGCTCCCAAGTTAGCATGCATTTGAGATTTATTTTCTCTTTATAATGTCTCATTTCCTTCTTCTTTGAAAATGAGCATGTGTTTTTCTATATGGTCAGAAAAAAATAAGAATTAAAAGAAAACATTCTTTCTGACCTTAGCAATGTTCTTAGACCTCAAGTAATTCTGGGCTTTATGATATCAAATGATTTTTTTTTTATTTTATGCTACTTTTTGCTGTTTCTCTGTAATATGTACTCTTATTGCCATTACTTATATTTGTATGTAAATATGAATTCATTTTGATTCTCCCTGATTAGTCACATGTTTACACCTTTCCTTCTTCATCAGAGTTATTTCCAAATAAGTTTTCAGGAATTATATTTATTTATACTTTACTTTTTAAAATAACTTTATGACATACAATTGGCATTTAATAAGAAATATTTAAAGGGTGAAAATTTACAGGCTTTTGGCCCATGACATCTTTTATATAAATGTGATTATGATTCTACCCATAACCATAAAAGTATCCTTGTAAGCCCTCTGTGACCTCCTCCCCAACCTCTACTCACTTTCATCCCAGGCAACCACCAATCCACTTTGTTATTCTAGATTAATGTTTTCATTTTCTCAAATTTTATCTAAATATAATTCTATAAAATACACAATCTGGCTTTTACATTTAGCATAATTATTTTGAGTTTTATCTGTGTTGCCACATATGTCCATAGTTCATTCCTTTTCATTGATACCTAGTATTGCATAGTATAGATGTACAATAATAGGTTTATCCATTCATGTGTTGATAGTCATTTGGATTGTTTACAGGTTTGGGCCACAAATAAAAGCGGCTGTGAACATTTATGTACAATTATTTGTATAAACATATGCTTAAATTTCTATTGGTTAAATAACTACAGTGGAATAACTGCAACATATGGTCACCATCAAACTGTTTTTCTTCAGAGTGGATATATCATTTTACATCTCCACCAGCTGAGTATGAAATTTTTGTTTCCACTATATCCTTGTCAACACTAGGTATAATCAGTCTTTTTAATTTTAGCTATTCCACTGAGTATGTAATATTATCCCATTGTGATTTTAATGTACATTTTTCTAATGTCAAATAATGTTGAGCATATCAAGAAATTAATCTATTCAATTTAAAAAATGGCAAAAAATTTAAACAGACACTTTATTACATTTTTATTTCAGAGTCATTCATTCACCTTGTATTGTTTCCTCACTTATAAGTAATGGCTGTGTGGTTATATTTTATCCCAACATTTACAAGTTATTTTCCTGAATTGTAGGTGCCTGTCAGAATTTTATAAGATTTCACTGATTTTTTTATTATTAATTCTATCTTCATCAACACAGCATTGCCTATCACCTTTTAAATACATACCATGCATAAATCCATGAAAAATAGCTTACATGTACTATTATTTCTACACCTTCTAACAATTTTGCAAGGCTAATATATTGTTTCCAATACCAAGAAGATAACCAGGGATTAATTTTTTGTCCAAGGTCACATAGATAGTAAGTGATGATCCTGAGGTTCAAGAGACATTCCAGAACTTACATGATTCCTGCATCATGTTGTTTTGCTCTCAAGGTTAGCATCAACTTAATTTCACTTACTGAAGAGAAAGACCTAGTACATTTTGAATATGCCACAATTTTTCCTAAAGTCTTTTAAAGCAACATACCTCTATCATATGAAAAAGAAAACAGGTAAACATAGCACCGGAAGAGTAACTCAACTGTAAGAAACAAGGTTATAGTGTTAAGACCATTCTTTTCTTATGCATTTGAAGGATGTCAGTTTCAACTTGAGACCCACAAATTGACACATGCCTCATGACGTGGATTTGAGATCTTTTCATCTTTTCTCGAGAACGTCTTTCTATAAATCAGTGTTTAATGTACATTCGTAAATCAATATTGCAAAAACATACTAATGATTATGAAGCTTTAAGAAACTGAAAGCTTTCAAATATGTTCATGTATGGCTCACAAAAAAGAATAGCTATGAATGAACAAGCGTTTTTATAATGACCTTCTCATTATTTCTTAAATTAGTAGTAATTATTTTAGAATGCAGTACCTCTTGTATGCCTTGCACTCTTGCATGTACTGAAAATTTTCTTGCCTCCATGATAAGGAACTAGCCTCGCTGATATTTAAAAATCAGCTTACTGGCATATTCATGTTAAGACTCATATAAAGAGAAATTATATACATATATATACACACACATATATACAAATACATACACATATATATATAGTTTCTCCTTATATGAGTTATATATATATGTAGTCAATCCATATCCATATATATAGTTGATCCTTGAACAACATGGGTTTGACCTACATTAGGTCCACTTATATGCAGATTTTCTTCCACCTCTGCCACCTCCGAGACAAGACTAACCCTTCCTCTTCTTTTCCTCCTCAGACAACTTAAGTGATGAAATTGAGGATGAATAGCTTCATGGTGATCTACATCCACTTAACGAATACTAATTATATTTTCTCACCTTTATGATTTTTTAAATAACATTCATTTTACTCTAGCTTACTTCATTATAAGAATACAGTACATAGTACATATAACATATAAAATATGTGTTCATCGATTGTTTATGTTCTTGGTAAAGCTTCTGGTCAACAGTAGGCTATTGGTAGTTAAGTTTTTGGGGAGTCAAAAGTTATACATTCAATTTATAACCCTGGTTGAGTATCATAATCAATACCATGCAAACAACATCTATATATACTCCATATCCTTTTTTTCCTTTTTCTTGTATTATCTATGGTATTAACCTATCAAAAACCCAAATCATCCTGTTGCTCTGCAGTATACCAAGGCAGATGAATGTAGGGGCTAGAGAAAAATATGCAGTCTCACTCATAGTTTGTTCTTTGAATTGATGGCAACAAACCCCAAGTGAGCCTTCATCCCTGTCCATAAATCTTGCTGCATTTCTAGTCAGACATTTTCTTTTTATCTCTCTGGATCCATTGTCTATAATTCTCCAAGCTTCTCCCTTTCTTAGGTAACTGAGCTGAAGGGAAGCTTTAGGTTTTGCAAATTTCAGCTTTTGCTGAGAGAGGGAGTAAGAAATGGAGAATCATTTATCTTCTCTGTATTTGGAGTTTGTATTATTAACCCTCTTAACAAAAACTGGGACTCAGGTGTACCTGCACTTCTTAGGGACTTATACCAACATCAAAATTATTTTCACTTTTTCTCTGACTCTTCCCTTTTTAAGTACAGGGAATAATGATGTAGTGTCCAGGGAGTAGAAGAATCACTTCTCATTCACACTTCCAAACCCATTGCTATGACCTGGGATTTTTCCATCCCACCCCTAAAAGCTGAGCCATTGAGCCTCCTATCAAAACTGGGATTTTTACGTCCCACCCCGAAAACCTAAGCCATTGAGTTTCCTGTCAAGACATTTGTTGTTTGATTCTACTGTACCATTCAATACAACAGGTTAAACTATCTGAATGGAAGAAAGCATAGAGATTGCATGAAATGTTAAGGAATTTTAAGAAATGGAACATTTTACACACACACACACACACACACACACACACACACACACACTACTGAAGTTTTCCAGATTAGCCAAAGAACACATAAACTCTCTGTAAATTGATGAGGCTTCCTTAATTGGTAATGAGTTCCCATTACTGGAAATATTAAGGTAAATTAGAGCAATCATCTCTCCAGTATATTGTCCAGTAAATTAGTGCATTATACAAGAGATTGAAGAGGATGGCCTTCTAGGAAAGATGAATTTTATGGTTCACACAAACTGAAGTTTTATGCTTGTGGTGATGAGATTCATAATGTAGAAAAGCACTTCTGTCCAAACTCTTTTCTTAAGATATTTATTTCCCTGACACACTACAACTAAGAACTCAAGCACGCTCTGGATGATTTAGGTATCTACAGTGAATAGAAGGTTATAGCGATACTCTGATAAAACACTAAATCTCAGCACACTCCTTGAGTTGTTTTCAGGCCTCAGATAACCATCAGATTTTGGAAGATAATTGTGTAGGAGAGTTTCAGGTATCCCGTGAATCTCAGGAAAAAAGATATTCCTCTTGTAGATAGGCCTTAATGACCTACCATTTTGCTCCTATCTCACTATTTATAAAACTCTATTTTACATGATAAAATAGAGTAAAATAGAACATAGATTTTTCTACTTGTGTGTGTGTCACAGTCACGGTGTTGTTGATGAGACTCTTACCTACAAAATTCATAAACTATAAAACATTTCCCCAATATGAGTATTAATAGCAATACATTTAATATTATGAAATATTTTAAATGCTTAACTTAATGATGAGTTTTATTCATTTAGAGTTGAAAATATAAATGTTAGGATTATTCTCTACAAATTGTGAGAGATTCATTACAGTATTTGAGAGGCACTTAACAGTAATAGTTTTCTATAGAACTGTCACAGAAATGCTATGATCTACCTTTAAAAGCAATAAGTAGAATAACTGTGTAGATTGAGGGACACATGTTGGACACATGTTAAGAAGACTTTATAAAATGGTTTGCAAATGGTGAATTTACAACAAATGAAAACTTCTTATATGCAAACTTTATGTTACATTTCTTATATTTGAAATCTTCAAAACAAGAGAATTTAAAGAGTCACTGCACATATTACAGGAGTTGCTCTAAAAGATTTTTTTCAAAATATTAAATAAAATAGAATATTATTGAGACATTGTTTTTACTTAAAATTGTTAAAATTATGAGACATTTTCTAGTACAGTGTTAAAGATAAAACTTCCCTAGTGTGAATGATATGAGAATAAATTAAAATATTAATACAATTGCACATATTGCCCTTTACTCAGGAGTGTTACATAAAATATCAGCTATTCACCAGAGAGACTGATGATTTAAAAAATACATTTTGAGGACATAAATATTTTGATTTGTTTATGTTATTAGATTTGGTGTGTTGAGAGATAGTTAATTTTGTTCTTTACATTAATTTTAATCCCCTGGGGGGAAAATGGTTCATAAAGATTTCTTGGACAGACAAAAATGTTGCTAGTCAGACATCATAGGGTTTGGAGCTATTTTAAGTCAAAATGAGTTTTTTAATTCTCTAGTGCAGGTAGAATTAATTCATTACTAACCTCACAACAAATTTCAAGGAAACTAGGTCTGCTGTAACTGTTAAATTGTGGTAGAATTAGGAAATGTTGAAATGGTCTCATCAAGAAACCATGCATAATGACATTTAGGACATTAACAGAGTCCCCCAAATCTTGTTCAAAAGTGTCTTTTTCCATCTTCATTTTGCCATTGCATGGCTCATTTGGAACAACCAGCATGTCTGAAGCAGTTTATAACAGTGGCTGAAGAAACCATTCAGCACACCTCGTTAACTAGCAATTTTATCTCAAGACCATTCTAACTATTTGATTCCTTATGGTTTATTTTTTTGAATAGAAAAAAATAAATAGTGCAAGTTATAAACATACTTCCTGAGTGTGGGTGGTTTCTTGATGAGTCAACTGATAATATTCATACAGTTTGTCATTTAACAATGGTTGTTGTGTGCATATCTGTGTATAATTTGCCAGGGTAGCAACAAAATTATCTGAACAATAGTAGTTTGGATGCTTAATGTTATATCTTTGTTGTTAATTCCTTTCTTCTTCCCCTGGAGTTTCATAAGGTGAACATGGTCAAGTAATTTGGGTTCTAGTCCCTGCTGTATAGTTGGCTCGCTCTACTTGAGTAAACACCAAGACAATGCTGATTCCTACTAACAGAGGTGTTCATTCCTTTTGAGTGAAATAAGGACTGCCCCTCCTCCCTCTCTCTTTCTGTCACACACACGCACACACGCATGCACTCCTTTTTCCTTCTCCATTTCCTCTCTCCCAAAAAGGAATCAAACTGAATTTTATTTTCTAATGTTTCTGGTACTTGTCTCTGTCATTCTAAATAATGTGCCTATATGCCACAATTTTAATCATTTTTGACAGTGCCTGGTGACTCCCTTGTATGAAGTATAATAAATTGACTCACATGAACCTTCTTTTTTCTCTCCTTAAATTTTTTTAGTTACATTTTAATTGTCATCCTTATTGGTTTTTCTAACTTTTCTTTGCCTTTTAAACTGCCCACTTTTTAAAATTCTGTATTATAATTTTAATATTTTAATGTTAATAAAATTTGTATTAACTCTTGAGAATATAAATTTTCTGGATTTTTTTCTAAGAAATGAAAGCCAATAAAGAGTGTTCAATATATAGTGATTGAATTTGTTTAATTCTCTGCCTTAAACTACTAACTGTGGAAAAACTTCCTATTCTTTTCAGTGCCTCTATGGAGCCTGGAGACAGCCAGTCCCATGAATTTTTGGTTTATTGACTAGCTGCTTTTACAGTAAGACACTCACAGCCTGGGGCCTCCACTACAGCAACTCAAACTCCTCAGCACAGGGTGAAATCTACTATTTTCAGTAACCTCTTTTCTAAGATAATTGTTATGTTAGCAGTTAGCATAGGTTGAAGCCAGAGTCTGAACCTGAGAAGAGAGCTCACACCCCTACCTACAGCCTCCTGCCACCAGCAATGTGTCCCTTAGACACATCTTTCCAATGAAAAACTGAGAAGTTGCCTAGATTTGGCCTTTTTACACATTTTTCTTTTCTTTACATAAGTCCTTTATTCAACCTCTACTTTATTATCAGTCAAGTATGCCAATTCACCCAGCCCCATATTTCCATTCATTCACATATTCTCCACATTATTGAAAGTTTACAATATAAATCAAAAGAATATCATATTTCTCAGTTTCATTGTGTAATTAAATCTCACGAGTTTTTGTTATACTTTAAGTTTTAATTTATTTTCATGTTATTCATTCCCTGATGTATTTTTATACATTTAATAACATTCTGCCTGAATTTATTTCAATTTTTGATGCTTAATGTATGATTGGATATTATGTGCTCACCTCATTACTGAAATATTCTCAATGACAATAATGGTTATGGATAAATTATTTAAACCTTATTACATCCAAAGTATAATTCTTAGTATTTCACATATAGTGACTCATTTAATCTTCACAACAACTCTGTGAGGTTGGTCCAATTATGCTTATTTTACAAGTGATGAAACTGAGGCACAGAGAGGAAAAATGACTTGACAAAGATCACCGAACTAATAAATGGTGGAGCAGGCAATGGAACACTAAAATCTAGACTCTCAGTCACCCCAATATTCTGTCTGTTATGATATATATTCAAGTCATTACCAACTTTGTTATGGGGAACAGGCTTTATCATTTAAAATAGTCTCCCTTTTTTATGTTTTCTTATTCCCTCTTAAACAGAAAATAAATGGAATTTAAATTCTTGAATGTTTGAATAATTGAAAGTGTTTTTGTTTATATTTGATGATTTTTCACTTTGGATATCTAGGTAGAATCTATTTTCCTATGAATATTGAGATTGTTTATCCACTTGCCTCTCATATTTAATGTGGCTGATGAAAAGTCTGAGGCTAGACTGATTGTCATACCTTCATAGGATAACCTGATTTTCTTTAATCTCAAAGTTTTTATAGCTTTTAATTTTCCTAACTTTCTAAAATTCACAAGCCACATGTCAGAATGGAACTGTTTTCATATATCTTGTTGATACCTTAACTCTGAAAACATGTTTAAGTTCAGCTTATAATTTTTTTCTTCTATTGTATATTTTATTATTTTTCTTCCATTGGTTCTGCTTAACTTTATCTTGCAGACATTTATTCAGTTTTTTTGGGGAATCATAGTCGTATTTCTCTAGAACTGTTTCTTACTCTCAAATACTTTTTTTTTAATCAACAAACAATGGAAGATACTAATTCTAATTTAATATTTTAAAAGTTTTGCTTTCTTTGCAGTAAGTTCTCTTTCTGCAACTTGACTTTTCATGGTATCAGTTCTTCTCAAATGCCTGGTAATTATTATGCATTTGGTGAGTTTAGTACTAGAATTATGATAGGTAGCTAAGCGTGTGTGGGCATTGTGTTTCCACACAGGTTTTTCCCCAGTATTGGAGGATTTACTTACTAAACTATCTCTACGGAAAGGTCTTCTTCTTGGCAACACTGATGTTCAGGTAGCATGATGAAAAACATATTCTGGGGCTCATACTAATGCAGAAATAAGAGCTTCTTTATTGAAAGCCAATAGCCATATCAGATGTTCTACTCCTTCCCAAGCTTGTTTTTTGGACTAGAGTAAACCTGTCCTGAGGTTCAGTCTGCCTGTGGACAGCGGAAGATAGGAAACAACATAATATCATGTTTTAATATTATGGGATCTTTGAGGTGTTGCTTTTCTGGCTGGAAACCTGTGGCTGGTGGCACCTTTGCCCGAGTTTTGCTTGGGCCCACTTATTCTGCCCACTTGACCTGGCAGGCTGAATTCACTACTATTGGCCTGGATTCCTTGCCTCTAAAGGAAACTGCGACTCAGGTGTAGAGTAGAGTGGGGTCTGGCCACTGCATAGTCAGACGTGCCAACTGCTGCCATGAGGTGGGCAGCTCCAGTTGGTGCCATGGGAGCCAGCTCTCTGTGAGGCTGCAGCTTGACTGGGCGCACTGCAAGCAGCTTCCCCTACTGGCACTGGGGAATGTGGTGGTGCCCAGAAGCTTGGAGATGCCAGGAAGGGCAGGGCCCCAAACAGGGAGTCACAGCCCTGGCTCCGGGAGCTCCCAGGTCTGGGATCCCTGAAGGGCCACAGCTCTTCACTCCTTCTATTTGCCCACAATGTGGAAAAGAAGGGGCATGTTTCAGCCCCGTTTGTGCTACAGCTCTTTTCGCCTTGCCATTCAATGGGTCCTGAGTTCTTGTCCTGGAATCAGTAAGAATGAGGTATGCAGAGAAGTGGAGGGTGAGCAAGATGAAGAGGAGCTTTATTGAGCAACAGAACAGCCCAGAGAAGACCCGCAGTGGGTAGATCCTCTCTATAGTCAGGGTGTCCTGACGGGTGTTCAGCTCCTAGCAGAGAGGGAACTCCTCTCTGCAGGCAGGTAATCCCAACAAGTGTTCAGTTCAGAGTGTAGATCCTCTCTACAGCTGGTCATTCGTCTTCAACTCTCGGCAGAGAAGAGGCCCTAGAGTGGGGCCTCCTTTGTCTCTGCAGCTCTCAGAAGAGAAGGTAGCCCCTGTCTGCAGCTGGTCATCCTGTGCTTTCTCTGTCCTCTACTCTGTTCTGTCTGAGACCCGGGATTTCATGGGCCTCAGTGGGGAGGAAGTGTATGCCAATATGTCCATGGGCGGCCATAGGCTGACCAGAAAAGCCACCCCAAGTCCCCACTCTGGTCTGAGGGACTGGCAGTCCAGCCCCCAGCCTTCAGGCCCTCCCTTGCCTGAAGGTGGGGCCTCACTGGGGACCCACCCCCTTCCACCCAGAAGCCTTCTGACTCCTGCCACTGTCCATGGTGCCCAGGCTGCTCACACCATGGGGCAACTGCAAGCCAGTACCTAGCAGCCTTCAGCACCCACTTCACCGTCTCCCCCACCTGAGCTTGTTGGTGCCCAAAATCCAGAGGGGGCTGAGGTGGGAGGGGCTGGCATGTCAGCACTGCCTCAAGCATCCACCCACCTGGCCAGGCCGTGAAGATATCCAAGCTCGGCCCCAACCCTGCTCTGAGACTGGAGGGTGTGTTGGGAATGGGGAATGGCCACGCAGCAGTAGCTGACACTCCTGAGCCTGTGGGACTAGGGGTCAGGGATGGGGGGGGGTCCTTCCAGAGCCCCTGAAGGCGCAGACTGCAGAGAAACCTGGGTCCAGACCCATGGCAGGGCATCTGCAGCTGCACCCAGGAAGCTCCCACCTGACCAACTCAGAAGGGGTGGGGCTTCCGCTCGTTCCAGGCTTCTGCCTGCTCCGTGGAGTGTGCAGCACCAGCCACATCTCCCCCCAGCCTGGGGCGGGGCCCCAGGTTCTCTCTGGGACCTGGCCTGCATCTGGGGCAGGGGCAACTTTGCTGCCAGCTCCCCTGTGGCCCTGGTGCTCAGGCAGGCCCAGAGCTTCCTCTTACACAGCCAGCGGCCATGCCTGAGGGGGTGCCTCCGGGAGTGGATGGCGCCCCGGGCCTAGCTATTGGTAGTGTCAGGCGTGGCGGCTACCTGATGTGGAGCGGACCCCGGGAATGCGGCCCCGGGAGGCCCTGTGCAGAGACTCCGCCCAAGGCACACAAACCTGGTGCCCTTGGCGGGTTGGGGTTGGGCACAGTGACCATGTGACTGGCTGGGTCCCCAAAGTGGGCACCTCTCCAACTTCCCAGCCTGGGCCCCCGAGGCATGACCCCAGCTCCATGCCCTGGGCCCAGCTCCGCCTCGGGGCCTCTCTCTGCCCGACCACACTGCTCTCCGGCTAGAGGGTGACTCGGCCAGGCTCCTTCGTGGCAGCCCCCAGGGCAGTGAGCTCCAGTGACTGTCTGCCTCCTCCCCAAACCTTCTTGCAATAGCACTGGGTGAGAGCAGGGATGTGGGCCCAGGGTCCAGAGCAACGGAGGCTCTGGGCCTGGAGGGGGGTGGGGAGGGGTGGGTCCCCTGGCCTCCTGAGGGTGGCGGCGGTGCAGTCTGCTGCCTCTGGGGATGCAGGGCACAGGGGACATGGGGCACAGGGATCCCCCCAATGCCGCCACTGCTGGTCCTGCTCTTGCTCCTGCCGCCACCACTTGCACCTCCCCTCTTCAGCCAGTGTGGTGGCAGCGGCTGCTCCCGACAGCCCACCATTCCCATCAGTAATATGGAGGGGCAAATATGTGTAAAGGTAGAAGATTTCCACTACTTTTGTGAAACCATCTTTAATTAACTCTCATTATTGTCTCACAGACTGATACTATTGTAGGTATCCCCTAAGCTAGCCGACCTTCCACTATTTTGCACTCTAATGAACATGTTTTTCTAATCTGTGTCTTTATCCACTTTTGATCATCCCTTGATAGACTAGCAGATTATAGTGAAAGATGAACTGGCTACCTTCTCATTCTCAGAACTGTAATAGATTTACATCTTTGAATGAGATTTTGTGAGATGGCATAGCTAAAAATGTGCATTAAGTTTGCAATATCAAGTTGGAAGCTTTGCATAAGTGCTTTTAATTATTGATGCCTATCAGGTTGAGGAAGTCAGAGGTTCATATGTAGGTGACCAAAGTGGTGCTGTTAGGCATCAATTTCACTTGCAACTACAAACTCTACTTGATTTCACTTAATCCCAGTATCTTCTTCCCAATCTTCTTATTTCTCTTCTTCGTATTTATAATAGAACTTGGACAAAGATATGTGTATACTCACGGCCTCCAATTTCTCCCCACTCATTCTTATTTCAGATGATTCTAAGTAGGACTTTCTCCTCATCACTCTACTGAAGCCATTCTTCTTAAAGATATAAAGACCTCCATAACCCTAAACCGGTGGTTACATAAAGACCTCCATAATCCTAAACCAGTGGTTATTAATAGTACTTATACCATTTGACTTATATCAACATTTGGCCCAGCTGATAACTCAATCATGTTCAAAACACCTTTTCTCCATTTGTCTTTTGACATATCCCTTACTCAAAGATTACTACTTCTAGTTTCCACTAATAAGTCTGAGTCCTTTTTTTTTTTTTTTTTTTGAGATGGAGTCTCCCTCTGTCACACATACTGGAGTGCAGTGGCACAATCTCGGCTCACTGCAACCTCCACCTCCCAGGCTCAAGCAATTCTCCTGCCTCAGCCTCCCGAGTAGCTAAGACTACAGGCGTGCACCGCTACAACTGGCTAATTTGTTTGTATTTTTAGTAGAGACGGGGTTTGCCATGTTGGCCAGACTGGTCTCGAACTCCTGACCTCAAGTGATTTACCTGCCTCAGCCTCTCAAAGTGCTGGTATTACAGGCATGAGCCACCAAGCCCAACCACTTTCATCTTCTTTAACTTTTTAAAAGTCACAAGACACATGTCAGAATGGAAGTGTTTCTATATATTTTGTTGAGCCTCATATATTCAGCCCTATATCTACACAGACTGAAAAGAATGACTGGGTACTCTCTTCTTTGATTATTTAAACCACATAAGTCCCAGGTTACATATGGGAACTCTCACTCTGACTCTGCCCTCTAACAACAAGAAAAACTACAAGGAAGGAAGGGCCGGGCCTTTTTCTTGCTCTCTCAAGCCATTTTGGACCATATTGGGAAGGCTGCGTTGCTGTTCCTATAAAGCCTTATTACTTACATAAGCATTACATGTAAACATTTTTATACCCTCTTGGTGAGAGTGTGACTTCAGCCTTCACATCTGAACCAAATGTCTCAGTGCTCCGACCTCCTAAAAGGACTCAGTGAAAGAGTATCTTCTTTATTTTAATCTATTCTCATTGCTATCATGGTTTCATCCAGTCTCATAATTTAAATTTATATATATAATTTATATTATATATATATTATATATATATAATTTTTATATATAATTTATATATATTTATATTTATATATAAAAATTACATTATATATATTTATATATAAAATTTACATATATATATATATATTGGTTTCTCCCTTGAGTTCTCAATATCTACTTCAGTTACTTACTTGATGTCTCTATCCAGATGTCTAATAGACATCTCATACACAGCATCCAATAGTGAATTTCAAAACCCCCGAAACTCCTCCTCACACAGTTTTCCCAACTTTGAGTTACTTGGCCCAAAAACCTTGGAATCATTCTTGACTTCTTTCTTTCTTTCAGTTAAACCCCACATCCAGTATGTAAGCAAATCTTATCTGCTCCACAGTCAAAATGTATACAAAATCTTACACTGTACCTTACACAACTACTACCACCAAGACTATTGTCTAAACGAATGCCATTTTAAAACCAGAATTAGTAAAATAATCTATAAACTAATATTTCTTCTCCAGCCCTTCCCTGCACTGTCCAAATTCTAAACACAGCAACCAAAGTGATATTAAAATTAAGTCAGCCAGGCATGGTGGCTCACGCCTGTAATCCTAGCACTTTGGGAGGTCAAGGCAGGTGGATCACTTGATGTCAGGAGTTTGAGACCAGCCTGCCCAACATGGTGAAACTCTGTCTCTACCAAAAAAAAAAAAAAAAAAAAAATTAGCTGGGCATGTTAGCATGCTCCTGTAATCCCAGCTACTCCGGAGGCTGAGGCAGGAGAATCACTTGAACCTGGGAGGCGGAGTTTGCTGTGAGCAAGGAGTGGAGTGCAGTGAGCAGAGATGGTGCCACTGCATTCCACTGTACTTCACTTGGGTAACAGAGTGAGAGCTTGTCTCAAAAAAAAAAAAAAAACAAAAAACTAAATCAGACTATGTCAATTAGACCATCCAGTGGGTTCCTCATTCACTAAGAGATAAATTTCTTTAAATTGCGCACAGAAATCAGTATGATCTGTTACCCACAATTCTCTGAATTTATCCCCTATTATTTTCCTACTTACTCTACACCAGTCCCAGTGGCCACTTTTCTGTTCCTTGGATATGCCAGATTTCCTTCTATCACAGGCTTTTGCATTTGCTGTTTCCTTTGCTCAGAAAGAAATCTATGTTCTTCATTGCTCATTCTCATGTATTTTGGGTCATTATTCACCCCTTACTTGCTCAGCTCAGTGCATTCTCACTCTCTCAACAGCTTTCCTTTTCTTCTTTCCTTTTCTCTACTTCACTTATTAAATCAACATCCAGTATACTGTTTTACATGTCATTAAAATTTTATTCAGTAGTTCATCTTCAGTAGTTTATCAAGAATGTAAACTCCATGACAGCATAAAGTTTTGTTCATTACTATTACTGTATTTAGCACATAATATGTATTAAATAATCATTTGTTGAAATAATAACTAAAAATAATTACCAGGTTTACGTAATATTGGTACATTTATTTATTACAGAGTTTTAAAAGTTAATTTGATAATCAATTAGTATATTGTACATCTTTAATTGACTTGCTTTCTCCATTTCTGTAATGGTGATAATAAAATATACATCATGTTACTGGGCTTGATAATAGCAAGTAATCTATATGACTTAACCATCCAATGATGGGATATACAGGTTATTATGTTTCAGCTAAGTTCTAGAATAATTGTGTATGTAAAATACTGTGTTTGTGTGTGTGTGCATGTGTGTGTGTTTGTGTGCCTGTCTCTTTATTTCGCCACCATTTAAAAATGTTTCCTTAATAGCAAAAATTAATAAGCGAACAATAGTTATTAGAATACCTGTTGTGGATAACTCTGACTTCCTGTCTCTTGGGGGCTGAGCAAATGGACTAATGAGGTTATTATCAGGTTCTGAGACTAAGAAAGGAAAATTCAACACATATGTTATATAAGATACAAAGAACATGGGATATTTAGCAGAACCAACAGCCAAGTATTCAATTAGCAAGTATACAAAACAGCAACGTGGCCAAAAGTAGAGACTAAGCTGAATAGAGATAGAGAAGATCATTAGAACCAGGTAAACAAAAACCAAAGCAATATTAGTGGGTAAAGGGGAGGTGATGGACCAAGTACAGTTGTTTGGGGAAAAAAATCCTATTGTCTGTGGTTGACTTTTTGTGTGTGATATAGTGTGAAACAAATAGATATTCCAACCTCAAGGAGATTACAATATAATGAAAAAAGAGAAAAAATAATAAAATATTAACAATATACAATCTTTTTTGATTAAATTCTACAGAATTTTAAGTGCTAACAGTTGCAATAAGTCAAGATACACACAGAATAAAACTTTAAAAATCTAGATAAATATAAAAAGTGGCTAGATTCCTTTGAAACATTTTAAGTATGCAGTATATTTAGACTAGCTTCAACAATATATCTCTTTTTTGAATGAGATGAAAGAAAAGTCACTGGGAAATAATTATTTTTAGTTTTATTCTCCATACTATAAACCTTCCTGTTAGGAGTATGAAAATAGCTAATTATTAATAAGCATTCTTTTTACATTGTTATTACAAGCTGATTTCTTAAGCCTGGATGGTCTATCCAGATTTTATGGTATTAATATTTTTATATTGAAATTATACCATATTCAAAAGAAATGATTTTTTCTAATTTGGAAAAATCAGGTTTGATACTAACGGATTATGTAGTTAAAAAACCTCTTAGAGACATTTAATTTACATTTTAATCAGGCTGCTTCTATCCAAGGTGCCCAAACCTTCTCTTTTGAACAAACCAGGTTAAGTGTATTAATAGTTGGGCTGTTAAGCACATCACTTAATATTGTTCACTAACATATATTGATTCCTGAAAGAGACTTGCTAGTAAAGCTTCATTCCTGTACTGCTAAGATTAGGTTTATCCTGCATTAACACTTTAGTTTGATCATTTAAATGTCTCCCAAGTTCAAGTTTTACATTTTAATTTATTCTTAGGCTGTGACCATGCAACTAAATCTTTAAGACTTTGCTCACTAGAATGATTTAGCCTTGATTTTAATAAGCTTGGGCAAATTGGCAACTTTAAATAACACAAGCAAAGCAGTACTTTTCAAGATTTTTGTACATAACCACACATGATTATAAATGTTATGAACAATGGGATGTGATTGTTCATGGAAGAAGAAAGTTTCCTTTTATAAATTACAATGCATCTATTCTTTCCAGACAAGAAACTTCACAATCGTTTTGAAATGTATTTTTAAAATAGCCAGCAGGGTAAAAAGTACAAAATGAGTCAATCAAATTAAAAGATAAGTAAAATTTTCTTATTTTAATATTGTCTCTGGGTTTACTCATGAGAAGGAAAGGTGCCCAATGGTTGCAAATCAGAGTATCCCCAGTTAAAAGTTCCCATAATTACTTAAAACTAAATATCTTCTTCCACAAAACTTCTTTGTATTTCGAAAGCTTCATTTTTATAAGCACGGTAGTCTCATTTGATGTTGAGTGGCCATTTTAATTGTTCCTAATCTTTTTTGGTACAGAATATAAGGAGTCAAGATAATCAATAACCACTCACTTTTCAAAGCAGTCATTGGATTGTCAACCGTAGATATATCACCCATTGTTATTTTGATATACTTCAGATAGTTCCTGTCTTCTCCATTTCCTAGGGAATTTTCTCAAATTTCTTAGGAACCTATTGCATCTCTTAGAAAACATTTCACTTAAATTAAATGGGAGCCTATATGAATATGCTCCATCCTCAGGCCATTTCTTCCTAGTCACTCTTATAGATAAATCAAGATGCAATAACATCTGAATGCTCAGGTTGACTTTCCTAGGGTCACTGTGTACCCCGGGGTTTCTGGCAAGAGGTAGGCAACAGAACTGCAATAACTATTTGTTAGGGATGTGACCAGTGCACCTATTTATTAAACTTTACAATAATAAAGCACAAATCTCACTGGCCAATGAATTAGCAAAATCCAAAGCGATTATATTAAACAAGTAATATCTTCAAGGAAGAAAAGATTGTGTTCCTAAGAATCACACATTCTAGAGGAAATATAAAATATTTGAACCATAGTAACTATAAGCATCTTAGCACACTTATTATGCACATATATCTCACTATAACTGAAGATTTTACTTTTTATGTAAGTTACTATATAATAATGATGAAGTAGTAATGCTTGATCTTTGAGGGTCACTCAGAGAAACTCTGAAGTGGTATGCAGAAGCTTTCTTTTTTAGGAAATAGCATGGCTAAGAACACTGCTAGCAAACCAAGACCTGAGTGGTACATCTGGCTGGGACCTGTTTTGTTTATACCTCTGAGCAAGTAATTTAAATACCTTATAACATGATGATAATAGTGTTTGCCACCCAGCTAACTTGGAATATTTTTAAAGGCTTCTGATAAATCAGGGCATAATATTTTCCTAATGTATACAATTTTCCATTACTGTTAATATGTCATTTCTGCACCTGAAAAAGAGTCCCATGTTTCATTTTGTGAGGACGTTAGTGTGTTCTTGTTTCTGAATGATATTTTAGTCATAAATCCTCAACAAACCTAAACATTTTAAGTATGCAGTATATTTAGACTACCTTCAACATTGTATCTCTTTGTTTTTGAATTAAATGAAAGAAAAGTTACTGAAAATAATTATTTTTAGTTTTTTATGTAACTTATGTAAATCCTTACATGACTATTAATTCTCCTTTAGGTGGTGAACCTCTGACATGTTTACGCAGGTCTTATCAGTAGACAGTGATGTCAGTGAACCCACAGTTTTCCTAGTTTTGGCCCTTTTGATCTCTCTTGCCATACTCCTCGAAAAACACTTTATATTTCACCTTTGTATTCATCCATTCCTACCTCCTCATCAACCATCTTCTATCTTTTTTCTCCTCTCCCTCTCCCAGTATTTTATTGAAAACTAGTAAGTTCCTGGTACCATTTAGGACGCTGCTATGCAGCAATGAAGAAGCCTAAGTCACTATTATCTCACCACATCTACAACAATCTACTCAAGATGGATTAAAAACTTAAATGTAAGGCCTGAAACTATAAAACTACTAGAAGAAAAAACAGAGAAAATGTTTCTTGACTTGGATCTTAGATTTTTTTTTTTTGGATATGACCCAAAAAGCAGAGGCAATAAAACCAAAAACAAGACAAACAGGATTGTATCAAACTAAAAAGCTTTTTACAGTATGGGAAACAACCAACAGAAAGCAAAAGAAAACAATAACAAAAACAAGAACAACAACAAAACCCCAAAAAGCCTATATATAGAATGAGAGAAAATATTTGCGAACTATACATGTGATAATGGATTAATGACCAAAATATATAAGGATCTCAAACAACCCAATATTAAGAAAACAGATAACCTGAGTAAAAAAAAAATGGACAAAGAACATTAATAGAAAATTTTTAAGACATAAAAAAGGCTAACATATATATGAAAAGGTGGTCAACATCACAAATCGTCAGGAAATGCTAATTAAAACCACAGTGAAGAGCTACCTCACACTGGTAAGAATTACTTTTATCAAAAAGTCAAAAGATAAAAAGTGTCAGTGAAGATAGGGAAAAAAAAAAGGAATTCTTGTATACCCTTGGTGGAAATGTGAATTAGTAAATGCATTATAAGAAACAGTATGGTGTTTTTTCAAAAAGATTGAAAATAGAAATACCATATGATCCAGCAAGTTTACTTCTGGGTACATATGGAAAGAAAATGAAATCAGTATGTCAAAGAGACATGTGCACACCCATGTTCATTGCAGTATTATTCACAATAGCCAATATATAGAATCACCTTTTGTCCATCAACAGATGAATGACAAAGAAACTATGATATATAAGATACACACACACACACACACACGCACGCACACACAGAATGGAATAATATTCAACCTTTAAAAAGAAGGAAATAACATGGATGAACCCTAAAGGGCATTGTACTAAGTGAAATAAGACACACACAGAAAGACAAATACTGTATGATCTCATCTACACGTGGAATCTAAAAGAAATGAATTTACAGAAGCAGAGAGAAGGATGTTGGTTACCAGGTTCTAGGGATGTGGAGGGAGTGGGAAATGGAGTGATGTCAGTTAAAGGGTACAAATTTTCAGTTTAACAAGAGGCGTAAGATTCTGGAGACTTACTATTCATCAGAGTGGCTATAGTTAATAATAATGTATTATATACTTAAAATTGCTGAAAGTAGATTTTCAATGCTGTCACCACAAAAAAATTGTATGTGAGGTGATGGATATATTAATTTACTTGATATAGTCATTCCACAATGTATACATATATCAACATTTCACATTGTACATCATAAATATCTATAATTTTTCGTTTGCCAATTAAAAAATACGAAGCGTGGCCCACAGACCCACATCAGCATCACCTCCAAATTTGTTGAAAATGCAGAATCTCAGGCCCTGCCACAGATCCACTGGGTCAAAAGTGCACTTAAAAAAATCCCCGGGGGGTTTGTGTACTCAGCTGTTTGAGAGGCCAGAAAAATTGGTTTTGGTAATAGAATTGAGTGTGGGGAAAGGTAGAACATGAAATAGTAGCTTCTTGTCTTAAGGCTTTAAAGTATTGTTTGACTTTTTTTTTTTCTTTCAATCTGCATGTTGTTTATTACTTTGATATTTCATAGTTTTTAAAGTGGTTTAAAAATAAATACCTGTGGCTCACGCCTGAAATCCCACCACTTTGGGAGGCTGAGGTGGGCAGATCACTTGAGGTCAGGAGTTCGAGACCATCCTGGCCAACATGGTGAAACCCTGTCACTACTAATAATTCAAAAATTAGCTGGGCATGGTGGCACATGCCTGTAATCCCAGCCACTCAGGATGCTGAAGCAGGAGAATCATTTGAATCCAGGAGGCAGCATGGGCGACAGCTGGAGACCCTGTCAAAAAAACAAAAAACAAAAAACAAAAACAAAAACAAAAAAACACCTGGGTAGATGGGTAGACTGTGGAGAAAGGAAGACAAAGTTACTATCTTTATTATAGTGAGACATTTAGATCTTAGGAAAGTACACAAATACATTAATGATGAATTAGCTGATACAAAAAATGATGTGAATTAAGAAGTACGACAACTTGACAAAGTGATTTGGGAGGTGAGTGTAAGATGGTAGTGGATACTTTTATGGGCATGCATAGGAAAATTTCATCTCACCTAAGGTGAAATGAAAATTGAATAATGACAATGAATTATATTAACAAAGAAAGACATGGGTGCAGCAAGAGTAGACAACTTTCAATGCATCAGGCAAAGATGTATTAGAAAAAGTGCAGTTGAGCAGGTAACAGATGAGGTTGGTAAGGAAGGCAGATGACATATTAGGCAGAAATGTATGGGTCACTGCTAGATGTTGGCAATTAATTTAAGTGTATGGAAAGGTATTGGAGAACTGTTGGGAGTTTCAGAGGACGTCTCATGACCCAGTCTAATGGTTAGTTATTACGAAGTTTTTCCAAGTTTCCCTTTTCTCCGCGAATTTGTGCACAAGAAACTGCTTAGCACAATTTCTCCATCTATATGTCAGTTCTCATTTATGGAACTATTCCTCTGTAGACTGATTTTGTTTGTCTCATTTTTGCACTGAGCACGGGGGTCCTCTGCCCTTGGTTCCAAAGCCTTCAGGTGCCAAAGCTGCTCCAGAACCCCTGGAAGAATTATCAAAGATGCGGTCCCTCTCTTCAATTCCATGGTATATTTTGTCCTTCAGTTCTGCAGGTAGCACTATTTATACTGACTCTAACAAGCCTCAAAACAACCATAGGATCCTACTTTACCCCTCTGTCTCTGAGAAGCTAGCATAATGTTTTCCATTCTCTGTCTTTGGACTTCTTTGTCTATTATGCTGCATTTCCTGATCATTAGCCAAACCAAGCACACAAGCAAGCAAGCAAGCAAACACACAAAGCCCATTAGGAAATTCAGTAGGGCAAATACACAGGAGTGTCTGGTTCCTGGCTCCACCAGGCCAATAACTGCTTGGGCCCAGCTAAGACAACTGCTTATGGAGCCATTTATAGAACACTTGTATCCATTAGACTGAGAGTAATGATATAATTTCTATACATTAAAGGGACTAAAAATAATTAAATGAAATTATCATATGTATTAAAGTAGTTTGATTTTTATCTGTATTTCTTTGAAAGTGGTTTTTTCATTGAAAATACTTTTCTCATTATAAAATATTTTTAAAATTGTGAAATATGCAGAAGCATAAAAAAGAAAATAGTAAACACTAGTGATCCTACCACCCTAAAAAAAAGTCTGCTAACATTTTTGAGTTGTCTCTTGTGTGTGTATTTGTGTGTATACGTGTGTTTGGTAATTATGGTTTGTACCACTTTAGAAGTTGATTTTTTTACTTAATTTATTTTGAGCAGTTTTCACAACTTAAGCATATTTCAAGAATTTGATTTCACATGCCATGTCTTAGTTTAAGTGTTAAATTTTAGGCCTATTTATGTTCTGTATTTGCTACATGTACAACAGCATTGTGCTTTTCTTTTTCCTCTGTTGAGTTTTTGCTTATATAAACAGATTATAGCTTGATACTATCATTAATGGTAATATCATTTTATACACAAAAAATCTACAATAATTTTTTGAGATATTTGCATGAAGTTTATTATAATATGAAAGTGATTACACAGATTTTTATCTGTTTTTCATTTGATACATTGGCTACTACTGTTTCTTTTAGTACATATAGTCCCACTCTAGGATTTTAGGCTTTAATTAATTTCTAAGTTTACATTGGAAAGTGTTATTGAATATTTGTATTTTCTAAGAAAGACATGTGGATACAATATTTTATTAGACAATGCTTATCTGAGAATAATTTTTACATTTATTTATGAATTTTTTGCCTCTCTACGTAAGAAAATTGTGTTTGGCTATTATTGTGTTGCTATAAAGACATACCTGAGGCTGAATAGTTTATAAAGAAAAGAGTTGTAATAGGTTCACAGTTTTGCAGGCTGGACAAGCATGGCACTGTCATCTGGTTGGCTTCTAGGGAGGCCTCAGAGAGGGTCTACCCTTGGCAGAATGCGAAGCAGGAGCAGGCATGTCACATGGCAAAACCACGAGTAAGACAGAGAGAGAACAGTGAGGTGCCATGTACTTTTAAACAACCAGATCTCACAAGAACTCACTATCACAAGGACAGCACCAAGGTGAGAGGGATCTGCCCCCATGATCCAATCATCTCCCACTGGGCCCCACCTCCAACAGTGGGGATTGCATTTCAATGAGATTTGGAGAGTCATACAAACTATATCAAAAATAAAACACATTTGCTATATCTAGAAATATTGTTTCCTAATCCCCATTGTCTTTGGCATTCTTATTGCCAGGGAGTTTAAAGTTGGCCAGATATTCCCCCCTTTTCTAAGTGCATAATTTTTAATTTGGAAATGTATAGGGATTCTTATTTTGGATTTTTAAAAGTGCTACACTTTCACAAAGGTATGTCTAAGTTTGTGTATCTTTTAATTAATATTCCTCTGTGAACCCTTCCTATGTGCAAATTCAAGTATTTAATACAGGAAGATTTTTGAAAATACTGTTAATCTGCTATTATATACTCTCTGTCAGCTTTGTTTCCTCCTTCTGGGTTGGCTCATCTTAATCAGTATTCCATTTTTCCCCTCTGACTTCTGAGATAATTTGTTTAAAGTTGTTATTTATTTCACTAGTTGCATTTTATTTAAAGTATAATCTGGTAGTCTCATCTCCTTTGTGGTTTTCGTTTAAGCAGTCATACTGTCTTTTCTATTTCCTGATCAGAAAGTCATTAGACTTGCATTGAATTGTGTTTGAGAACTTGAATGAGACATTTTCTAAACATTGCTTCTTATGATAACACTGCTTAAAATTGACCTTCGGAGTGGTTTCTTTCTTTTAAAATATAGCATTTGTATATACTCATGAGTTTCTTTTTCTTGTTACTTTCTTCATTGTGATTTCCTCGCATTCATATTTGAGATGAATTATATTTATGTCTTTCAGACCCAGACAAATGAAGAAGCAAAATATTTGATTTTCTGTGGTTTATTTATTTGGTTCATATATCCAGCAGCTTGAGGAGAAAACTGAAGTGGCTAAAACTCAATGTCATCCAAACAAAAAGTGTGGTCTTCTCTCCTAGATTTTCCCTCTACCATGTTTGGCTTGGCATTCCGCCTTGGTACTTGACTGCTTCCATTCTTTATGGGGCACGGTAGTTATCCTTAGAAACCAGCTTTAGCAGTGCCTTCCGTTTGTGTCTTTTTTTTTTTCTGGTGGTCTCTGAAGATTATAAACCAAGATCTATTGCCAATTTAGATTCTCCAAGAAGTGTAGCCTCTTGTACCTAGCTGTCTTGCTAGAATTGCCAGTGATTACGTTCCTCTTGATTTGCTATGACCCATCAGTGCTTCCTATCCTCATGCCGCAAAGTGAAGGGATATTAGTGGGGCTCCACTAGGTTCACTTCCTTTATTCCTCATGATATCTGTTTTTTCTCACAGGGGGGGCATTACTGTTATGTCCAAAAATTTCTAATTCTGGCTCTCTCTATTCTATATGTAGAAGACAGAAATTCCACTGAGATACTCAATTGTTGTGTCTATACTTTTTCACTTTTCAGAACTCACAGCACACACACACACACACACACACACACACACACACACACACAGATGAGTGTAGTGCAGTGGCACAATCACGGCTCACTGAGCTCTTGACCTCCCAGACTCAAGCAGTAATCCTGCCTCAGCCTCCCAAAGTGTGGGATTACAGACATGAACCACCATGCCTGACCTAATTTTTAATTTAAAACAAAAAAAACCCTCAAAAACCCACTTTTCCCCTTTGGTCCCTGAACACATTTGTTATATCTGTTGCTAAACATAAATTTCCTTTTTCCAAACAAAATTCGATTATTTTCTTTGAAGAAAAATGATTAAGTGGTTATTACTTTCACAGTCTTCTGGTTAATAATGCATATGTTTCTTCGGGGGTTTGGGGTGTTGTTAGGAAACACCACAGTGATGGGCATGCAGAACTTGTTTTCTAAGAGTATGAACCCTAACTGTAGATGTAAAACATACACAAACAACTAAGATGGAAAATAGAAAATGCCCCAAGTAATAAATAGGTACCAAAAAAGGTTGAAGGAGGGTGGAGCATTTATTAGACTATATACAGAAAAGGCAATGAAATTTTTAACTGTAACTTGCAAGAGGGGTATGGTTTCAGGAGTTAATTAGGAGAAAGGAAAGAAATTCAGAATTTGAGTGGTGTGCTGGAGAGATCGAATGTATTGGCATATAGTTGGCTTATTAGGATTGTTCATCATGATTTCCACTAGAACGTTTCCATATTTGCAGCTGAAACTTTAGTTTGTTATTACTTTTTAGGGCAATTTGTATCTTTGAATAAATAACTATTTCATGACTCATTCTTCTATAGTGTGTTTATGATAAAGTCATAATTTCAGTAGCTTGAATTGAAAGTTTTGCAGATATCAGCTTACATTGTTTTTATTATAAACGTTTCTCTTCTCCAACTGTTTAAGGGAAGAATTTGATCAAACAGGAAAGAGTAAATTTATCTTCATGAACTTTTGTTAGCAATGTTTCACCTACCTTTTCACTTTATACAAAATTGGATAACAACATAATCTAAGAATCTGAATCACTTTAACAAAAATATTTTTCTTGTTTGTACTGATAGCTTGTTTCCACAGCATTGCACTAATGAATTGAAAAAGAAAAAACAAAAACATCTTATTGCATGAAAGTTTAGTGATGTGTAAATGCATTTGGCAGCAGCATTGCTACTGACACTCCTTTCTTAATATTTAATTTTCTCCTCTACCAATGTTATTTTTTTCTCTTAAAAGCAAAATTTAAAGAGAAGCATTGTTTTCAAAAAGCTTATATCAGGTATTCTGTTTTTGTCCTTTTCTAATCAGAAAATTGTGACAGTTTTAAAAAATCAAGGGAAAATTTTTGAATCACTTAGTATTATTGAGTACCAGAATATTTTCATTAATAAACTGAGAGATACATAATCTTATTATGTACATTCAAAAATAGTATGTCATCATAATAGCATATTTACTCTTGATAGAGTAATTGTGAAAAGGCTTATTTTCTCCCTGCTACATATTATATTTTTATATGTTTAGAATTGCTTTAGTCTAATATAAAATCATTAACTCACAAAAGGCCTGTAACTTTATTCTTACATGCTTAAATGTTATTAAATCCTAAGATAGTGTAACATCAAAAGTAATGTATTAAAAAATTAGATAAATTTATGTCCAAATCTGAGCTTAAATAGTGACAAGTTGTATAATCCTGGAAAATGATTTCAATTCACTTCACTTCAGCTTTCCTATGAGCAAATGAAAATAAAATAACAACTAGTTTGAAGGGCTGTAGAGACTGAGGTACTTTGAATAACATTTCTAGAATATAGCGAAAGGTTAAATACAGTAACAGCTGTTAGTATTCATATTTCACTGTTGAGAAATCCCATCTTCAACTGATTTTATGATTGTAGTATTAACTGTATAAGTGTGTGTGTGTGTGTGTATTCACTTGTTTAGAGAAGGGCATTGGATTCCAATGGGCTGATTAAGCATATGCAACTTTCCTAATGTCAAGGCCATTGAAATGACAGAATAACAGTAACAAGAATAAAAGCATAATATACTAGGCAGCAAAAACAAAGGAATCTAGTAGTAGACCAGAATGCTTGAATATATCTTTAGGATAGAAACAAGTGCACTTGGATTGACATAATACATGAATAAAGGAAAACTTCATACAATTGCTACTAATTAAAAGCTAGTGTTTATTGAGAATGCGTATTTCAGGCAGTATGCAAGTATGTTACATTCATTATGCTAAATTTATTTTAACTCTCTGAAGTCAATTCTATATGTATTTTCATTTTACAGTGAAGAAAATAAAAGTTAGATATTTAGCCAGCAAGGTCGCACAACTAAAATAAGTCAGAATGCCATGTGAAGTCAAGGTTAAGTACATGTATTTGAGTATGGCTTCTGCATTTAGTGTGAGTATACATATAAAATTACTGTGTGTATATATATATATATATATATATATGAGTGCAAAATTAATTCCTATAACACATTCACACGGCTTTCTGTTATGACATAGGAAATTTTAGTGCACTTATACTGTTTCCTCTTCTCAGTTCTCAATAGAGTCTCTATCATTATTTTTAGTTAAATCATTAATTAGTTCACTGCAGAGTTAATTAGTGTACCACGATCACATTTATTTTATTTTTCAAATATTGTTTTCAATTTCCTCATTTTTATCACATATTTTGAAATCCCCATATCCTTAATACCTTTTTTTAAAAAAGAATAATGTGCCTATATAAGATATATTATTGAGTTTCCTGCTTTGCTCCACAGAGATCTCAATCCTGGGATCCTCAGTCCTTTTGCTCCGATTTGGCTTGCTCCCCAATTATAGTACTGATCTGTCATGTTTCTATTTTTATACTAGACCCACTGTTTGATGGTTATGAGGCTCTCTTCTTTCTTGGCATATGCTCATGTCATTTAGTGCACTTCAACAACTCCCATAATAGGTTACATGAGAGAAAACTTTTACAAGTCCCTATATTTCTTAAGTATCTTAATGATTCCTTTAAACTTAATTGATTAGTTGGCTTACACAGAATTCTAGGTGGAAAATTATTTTTCCCTTAAAATATTGAAGTCATTGTTCCATTATTTTAGTCTCCCGGGTTGCTATTAAGAAGTCCAATTCAGTGCCATTCTGATTGTTAATCCTTTATATACTCTTTTTTCCTGGAAACTTTTAGTGTCTTCATTTTATCCCTGGTGTTAAAAATCGCATAACAACCTGCCTGATAGGGAGTCTTTTTTATTAACTGTGCTATTCAATTAATACCTATGCCTTTTATTTTTGTGAGTTTTTCTTGTATTCATTTCTTGATGGTTTTCTCTCCTCTTCTCCTAGGCGTTCTGTATTTTACTTTTCTTTCTTTTTTCTTTCTTTTTTTTTTTTTTTGGAGCTCCTACTAATAGAACATTGAACTTCCTGAATTGATACTCTAATATTTTAATCTTTCTCTCTGTCCATATTCATTTTTTGTTCTACTTTTAGAACTCCTTAAATTTATCTTTAAACTTTATTAAATGTAACAATCATATTGTATTTAAAAGCATTTTCTTGTTCTTTTATTGTCCATTTGTTCAAAGTGCTATGTTATTATTTTATGTATGGAATGTTTTATCTGTCGTGTTACTGGGGGTTTTGTTTTTTTGTTTTGTTTTTCCTTAAGTTATTCCCTTGGTACATTTTTCCCTTTCCCTCTCTGTTGCTATTAAAGCATAAAGACCAGGGCTGTTCCTTCTTAAGTGAACTGACTGCTATAATTTGAATGACTATGTTCCCCCAAAATTCATATATTGAAATCTAATCACCCATGTGAGAGAGTTAGAAGAAAGAGAATTTGGGAAGTAATTAAGTCCTAAGTGAGGAGCTTTACTGGGGTGGGAATAGTGCCCTTATAAAATAGGTGCCAGAGAACTGCATCCTGCTTTTCACCATTCGAACACACAGAGGGCACTATCAATGAACCAGAAAATGAACCCTCACCAGACACTGAATCTGCCAGCACCTTAATCTTGAATTTCTCAGCCTCCAGAACTAGGATAAATATTTGTTGTCTACAAGCCACCCATTTTAAGATGTTTTGTTATAGCAGCCTGAATAGACTGATACTGACATTCACCTTGTGAGCCTAATTTCATTGCTGTCTGGAATCTGTACTTATCTCTCATCATAGCAGCCTTCTGAGATTTATGCACCTCAGCAGGATTTGTGAACCAAATTGCCATTTTTTTCTTCTAAATAGTTTCATCAGCATCCATGTTAGTTTATATCTTTCTAAATCGGGAAAGAAAAAATTTTATATATATATAAATGAAAATAAAATATATATTTATTTTATTATATAATATATAAAAGTATATATAGCATTTATGTTTATTTTATATAAATATATGTATATATTAACATATAGTTTTTAATTATATGTAATGTATAATATATTAAATATATATGTATATTACATATTTTATTTTCATTTATATATTAATATATTTATGTGTGTATATATATATATATATATATAATATAAATGGAAACTTACTCTAAGCTAACAGTTCTTCCCACAGAGTTCTGAAGAACTCTAAATTTAAGGTAAGTAATTCTAAAATTACAAATGGGCTTTGGGCTAGTACTCAGGGTAAATTAGATAACTATCACAAAAATATCTAAGTTGGCCTGACACCCCACAACTATTTCTGAGGCACTGGTAGTGGAGAGTTTGTCCATTGAGCATCCCCCAAACACCTGTCCTCTAAAGAGAGGTTTTTAGAAAAGCTCTGCCTGAGAAGACAGTTAGGGTGTTAACCTCAGAAGGAGAGAACCATGGCAGAGACTGAGGGAAACCCAGACTTTCGTGAAAGAAAGGAGAACCCTTAAGAGAAAAGGAATATCCAGAAGAGAATTACATTTACATGCCTGACCCCACAGAGAACAATACAAGCAAGATTTGGGCTTTTGAGGGAACCCATCTTTCCTGCTTGTTCACAATTTGCGAACCTCAAAGTGAAGTCAGCCAGTTAAAAATGCTCCCTTTATTCTTAGAGCCTGCAATCAAACATGCTAAAGCAGAGAAATACAATAAGAGACCTATACTTGACATTAGCAGAGGAAGTCCAGCTGTGTACACTAATTATGATAAACATCCATTCACAATGTCTGGGAGGAGACTAGCCACAGACCTGGAAAGAGGTGAAGAAAAACGACACCATGAAAAAGGAGCAAAGTGAAAAAGAGAACAATAACTCATTTTAAAAGTACTTGCTGATAGCTTCAAAGAGGTTCAAAAGTGTATTGTGCCCATAAAAGATTGTTTTGTAAAAGTAAAAAGGGCATCCAATAAATAAGATAATTAATAAAGAAGAAGTCCTGAAATCTTTAAACATAATTTTCTAAAAAGAAAACAAATGCATAAATAGAAAAACACAATGAACAGAGACAAAGACCAATATATTAATGCAGTAAATAAGATTAATAAAAAATTAACCCCCTAAATAAAGTAAACCCAGAGAGATAAAGAAATCAGAGGAGTTAAAAAAAATCCAAATTGCTTAAACCAATTCCTGTTCCTTGCACTTTTCCCTCAGGTTTCTGCTTCATGTGGTCTCCCTTGGAACATCCTCTGTTCTTGTTTATCCTTCATACGACCCCATATACTTTTCCTGTTTGGTAAATTACTGTCTCTGACCATCAGTTTTTTTCCATTCTGTGAGAAGTGTTGCTGTCGATATACTTATTCAGTTTTCATATGCTTGTTCACACTTTATTACGCTCAGTCTAAGATATTGAGTCAGAAATCTGATCTGCTATTACTAATTGTGAAAATGTTGCAAGTTAGCTCACTAATATCTCAGTATCTATTTCCTCATAGATAAAAATGAGTTGAATGAAGCTGAAGATCATAAGTCTGGATTAAAAGAAGCTTCTTGACCTTTGGTTCTTCAGTCTCACCTCTACAATACTACTGTCATGCCACACTTCTCCCATATCTTCATGTTCAGCATATTCCAGACATTTTCTATGTTTTTCCTCAGCCTAGAAGCTTCTTCCTCATTTACCCTGGTAAGCTTCAACTCAACTATCATGTTTCAGCCTCCTCTGGTGAGTCCACCCTAAACCACAAAAGTCTGATGGCTCTTTTTCTTTGTCTTCCAACAGTAATGTACATTTATTTCTATTAAAGAACTCATTACCATGTATCTTCTTACTAGTCTGTATTGTACATATCTTTGAAATTCCCCACACTCTGTGAACTCCTTGAGAAAAAGGAGGTTTTTTTTTTGATGTCCTGTTTCCAGACCTTATCATAGTTCATGATATGTAGACATTTGTTTGTTATACAATGAATGCATACTTCACTGGACTGCTGTCAGACAGCAATGAGATTACATATGTGACAATCCCTGGCATGTCCCCTGCACTCCATAATTACTAGTGTTATGGTTATTTCTGTACTGATAGCTAGTAGTCTCCAAAAAACAGAATCAATAGATATTTTAAGGAATTGTTTCATGTGAATGGGAGTTTTGCAATTTTGAAATTTGTAGGATAGTCTGGTAAGCTGGAAACTCAGGCAAGAGATGATGCTGAGTCTTGAGGCAGAATTGCTCCTTCCCCAGGAAACCTCAGTTTTTGTTCTTCATGCCTTCAATTGATTGGATGAGGCCCACTCACATTACAGAGAGTGATCTCTTTTTACCTAAATAAAAGTCAACTGATCAATCACACCTACAAAATACTTTCATAGCAAAACCTAGGTTTGCATTTTAATAATACCTGGATACTATAGTATAGCCAAATTGATATATAAAACTTCTGTACTTTCCCTCCTCCAATTGTGTCAAAGCTGGAAGTTTTGCTGCCTAATTTAAGCAGTATAAGCTTGTTTTAAAATGAAAGAAAATTTGGTTATTCAAGATCCACCCCATGAAATCTTACTCTAAACAAAGATGGTACCTAAGAATGGACTTATGTCTTGGGTGAAGGATACAAAACAACATTTATTTATTTTCCACCAATGATTATTATGATCAGGAGAGCCCAGAGGCATGAAGTTGATCTGAGGTACTGGAGAGTTTTAAAGTCAATCCAGCAGTTCCCAGCACTTTCTATAGCATAGACACCTCCTTTATCATCTCCTGAGGATGGTGACCTTTAAAAAATAATCATTAGCTTTTCTTAAATCTGAACTAAGTTCTCAGGAAACTGTAAGGTGCCCCCTCTCCAAACTGAAAGAGTCCAAACTTTCCCACATAAAATTGTATTGTTTCTAGAGAATTTCCATGGGAAAACTCTATGGTTATTCCATTATCAATTTACGCACATGTAAATACATGGAATCAAAGCTGCTGAATCTTACTAACCCAAAGAATTATAAAAATAAAACTGGAAGGCCTGTAATCCCAGCACTTTGGGAGGCCAAAGTGGCTGGATCACAAAGTCAAGAGATCGAGACCATCCTGGCTAACACAGTGAAACCCAGTCTCTACTAAAAATACAAAAAAAAAAAAAAAAAGAAAGAAAGAAACTAGCCAGGCGTGGTGGTGGGCACCTGTAGTCCCAGCTACTCGGGAGGCTAAGGCAGGAGAATGGCTTGAGCCCGGGAGGCGGAGCTTGCAGTGAGCCGAGATCATGCCACTGCACTCCAGCCTGGGCGACAGAGCAAGACTCCGTCTCAAAAAAAATAAAATAAATAAATAAATAAATAAATAAAACTGGAAGAAAATACAGGTTGCAGCTTTATGCATTATATTTTGTTTTTACCCAGATAAAAGTTCTTCAATGGAAATAAGTTTTCTATTGATGCAGAAATTAAGTCACAAGATTTTCATGCAACTTTTAAATCAGTAAGTCAACTTATTTTAATTAAATATTACTTCAAATATTGGTATTTATTATTGCATGAGCTAGGAAAAAATTATTCAAAGTGTTTTGATTTTATTGTAGTTCCCATAATCCCTACGTGTCTTGGGAGGGACCCAATGGAGGTAATTGAATCTTGGGGGCGGTTACACTTATGCTGTTCTCATGATAATGAATGAGTTCTCACAGGATGTGATGGTTTTATAAGTGGCTTTTTCTGCTTTTCCTCATTATTCTACTTTCTGCCATCAAGTGAAAAAGGACGCGTTTGCTTCTCCTTCCGCCATGATTGTAACTTTCCTGAGGCCTCCCCAGCCATGCTAAGCTGTGAGTAAATTAAACCTCTTTCCTTTATAAATTACCCAGTCTCGAATATGTCTTTATTAGCAGTGTGAGAATGGACTAATACAGCATTATGTTTTTACTCTGATAAAGGTCCTTCAATAGAAACAGATATTCTATTGACACAGAAATTAAGTCACAAGATTTTCCTGCAGCTTTTAAAGCAGTGAATCAACTTATTTTAATTAAATATTATTTTAAATATTAGTATTTATTATTGCATGAGTTATGAACAAATTATTATTCAAAGTGTTGACTTTAAGCCTTTAAAGAAGATACAATATACCAAATAATTCTCATTTTAGATATAAGTTAATTCTTACAGTTTTCATATTAATATCAAAGGTATATATTTAGTAAATTAGAAAAAAATCATAACCATTAACTCAGTAATTTTCATTTGTGATAAATTTATATTAATATAATGATTTGATTTTCAAACAAACTTATTAATACTACCAGGACAGTTGATGTCTTAGGCTTGTTTCCAACAGGTCTGAAATTTTATAAATACAAAAGTTGTATTAAATTAAATAATGCATTTTGCTGCTCCTCTGCTGAAATCAATGTTTTTCCTTTTGAACCAAAAGTCCCCAAATTAGCTGACTCCCTACTGGCCACTTAATAACTAATCAAAAAACTTGACCGTGTGCTTCAACTTGAGAGAGAATGTGATGATTAATGTTAGGTGTTTCCTTGACTGGATTAAGAAATCCCTAGAGAACTGGTAAAGCATTATTTCTGGGTATGTCCTCGAGAGTGTTTCCAAAGAAGATTAGCCTGTGAGTTGATGGACTGACTGGGTTCGGTAGATCCATCCTCAATGTGGGCGGGTACATCAGAACTCCAGGCTCTGGAGTACACCAGCACCTCTCCAGGTTCTCAGGCTTCAAACTGTGAATTACACCCTCCGTTTCCCTGGTTCTGGGGTTTTGGGATTTGACTGAGCCATAATATTTGCATCGCAGAGTCTTCAGCTTGCAAATGGCCTATCATAGACTTCTCAGCCTCCATAATCACATGTGCCAATTTCCCTAATAAATTCCCTCATATGTTTATCTATCTCTATATATCTAATATATTTATATTTCTACACAGTATCTCTCTGGAGAACACTGGCTCATACAGAAAAAAAAATTCCAACATCATTTTTCCCCTCGAGTTTTGAAGAGGCAATTCCATTACATATGATCTCATGTGCTTGCCCTACAAAAGAAATAGTATTTTTAACACATGTTGTATGGTTGTAGGAATTTGGGAAGAAATTATCTGTGAAGGAAATTTGCCACTGTAATGCACACCCAATCTGTACTCCCACAATATCCTATGTTTTAAGCTTTCATTTATTTTTATTTTTATTATTTTTGTTAATGTCTACTGTATAGAGATCCATTTTAATGCCTCCTATACAAGAGCATTGTGTCAGGGAATTTACATACAATCTCTCTTAAATTTAGATAACAAACTTATTTGGTAGCTATTATTTTTTCTCAATTTAAAGGGAAGGGTAACAACGGTTAGTGTGTCTAATTAATATGCTCATGTCCACATATCTAACTGGTAGACTTAAGGTGTATGCCCAGCTATGTCATCATACTGAATCCTTTCTGACTCCTGTGTTTATCTAGTATATGGTAATAATTAATACTCAGAATCATAATGAGGTGGTTTCTCAACCATCCAGGACCTGTTGCATCAGTTTATTGGTTAAGATGAACTTACTTTTGAAGGAGAGAATGCTTATTTTCTCTTAATTATGTTTTTTCTTTTTATGAAAATAAAGTTTCTTCCTGGAGAGCAGTGGGGCCTTGATTATTATAGTGGATATATTTGTCCTCTTGCTTTGCAACTTTTGTTATATCATAGCTGGCCTACTTTCAGCCCTCTGCATTTCTCCATCAATAATAATTTATAATTAAAGAAAAACTCTAAATTCATAGTTGTATAGCTGACTCAATAATTTTAGTCACTGCTTGAGTCAGCTAATCTCTATTCAAGTTCTAATATTTTTATGCCTTTCTTTCTGCATCTGCTATTTTGTCTGGTTTCCAGTTTCAAGACCTCCTCAATTTCACTTATCCTATTTTTTCAAAATATAATTAACAAATATATTAGAAAATTTGTATTAGCTTTCATTTTTTAAAAGATAAAAACATATAGCATCATTACAATGTACTATATTTTTAAAAATAAAGAAAAATATTTTCTATTTTTTATCTTTCTTCTAGTTCTTGCCTATCACGATTTGTATTCTTTTCAGTATTTTTTTGGAGCAGAGAGAGAAAAATAATTATTTTCTCTAACCTTTAAAATATTTCCATGTGCTCTCCTATATTTTCCATAATACTTTGAAATTAGGTTGATATTTTGCGACTAGTTCTAGCCAATTGATTTAGAGAATAAGTCATGTGTTTTTTTCTCTCGATGTGGGGACTTTAAGAAATGGTGTACTTTCCCCAACAATTTATTCTCAGGCCACAGTAATGTCAGAAGCCATGTGTTCTATAGGGTAAAATTCTGTGAAACTTCTATCGTATGTAAATGAGCAATCAACCTTTAGCGTATTAAACTAATGATATTTTAACAGGAATTTGTCACAGTTGCATTTAATTATTAAAATAATATGAAATTGACATTATTAATATCCTAATTTTAGAGATGATGTGCCTAACCTATTCTGCATAATGTACCAAAAAATTCTCCAAGTACTCGGCCATGGCTCCCTCCTTCAAATAAAATCTTAACTTCAAACTCCTTTGTTCATAAATAATTTTAGTTATAATAATTTTCTTTAAAGGGTGGTTTTGACTGGGTGCAGCGGCTGAAACCTGTAATCCCAGCACTTTAGGAGGCCGAGGTGGGCAGATCACTTGTGGTCAAGAGTTCGAGACCAGCCTGACCAACATGGTGAAACCCTGTCTCTACTGAAAATACAAAAAATTAGCCAGGCTTTTTGGCAGGTGCCTGTAATACTAGCTACTCAGGAGGCTGAGGGAGGAGAATCACTTGAACCTAGGAGGCAGAGGTTGAAGTGAGCCGGGATTGTGCCACTGCATTTCAGCCTGGGTGACAGAGCAAGACTCTGTCTCAAAAAATAAATACTTAAAATATGTTTTCTGCTGGCTAAATTTTTCTCAAGATGTCTAAATAAACTAGACTCTATATTAGAACCCAAATTCAAAACAACACTCTAAAACTAGAAATTAAATATTTTAATATAAATTTATAATTTTATGACATTATAAAAGATTAAGCTCCCAAAAATAAAAGTATAATATAGTAATGAGAGAAACAGAAAGACCCTCTCAAACACATATACACATAATTGTCCTATCCATGTATCTTTATATACATTATCACACTTATGTCCCTAATGGAAAAGTTGCAATAGGGTTTATAAATCAGTGTAGTATTATAAAATAGTATAATATAATAAAAAGTAGATATTGCTGTCAGACTTCATGAAGTCTTAGATAGTTATATTGCCTTCATCTTCAATTAAGGGCTATTAATTTTTTATAATTGATCTGCATTACTGTATATGGAATATGCTTTGAGAACATACAGTAAATATAATTCCTTACATCAATAAATGTATGAGACATTGAAGTTAAAGGACAATTACAAGTATTTCAAATTCTCCTACATCTGGCCCACCACTGCTCTGCAAAAGCCCTAACCCAACTCCTGAGCATCCCAAAGAATACAGAGGCCATTACATGAATGTATTCTCATGTGCTTTTTTGCCCTCAGCCCTAGAGATGAACTAATATATTTACAGATTTAAGTTGCGTGGGTTTGAATCCAGTCCTGCAGCCCACTACTGGGGATCTGGGCCTCACACACATTATCTGTAAAAATAGGATCTTAATAATAACAATTTCATGTCATTATCCCAAGGATTAAATGTCTTAAAAATAGTTGGCGAATCACTTAGAACATGCCTGGTCTATAAGAAGCAGTATATATTTTTTACTTAAAATAATGCCAAATTTGTATTATGGGTAGTTAATGTATCTTTTTCATTAAATTAACATATAATTTAGTTTTTGACAATTAAAGATATTTATTTTAGCCAAAATATGTGCTTTTAGTGCATAAAGAAAGGTATTTAGTTTACTCAAAACTTCTGTTCTCACATAAAATCAAAATGCATGCTAGTTCCAAATGTATTCACGTGGAAACCATCATTCCTCCAGCTAGTGGGGAAATTTCTCGTGCTCTTGCCTCACTGCTCAATCCCTCACTTCCTGGCATTGTTCTCCGAAGATGAAGCTTAGGGTGACTAGATGTTATCAGTCTTGCATTATTAATTAACAAATACATAATTTGTATTAAATTTTAGTCATTAGGTTTTTTTTTGTCCCCACAAACTCTAGCCTGATGTTGGGCACCTCAATTCTTGCATCAACTTTTGTTTGGATTTGTTGATTGGCTGGTTTTAATTAGTCTTGCCACCACGTACTATGATAAACCAGTTTTTTTTAATATAGTATCTGTCTCTTCTCTTTTCCACTATAGATTGTCACCACTATAACAACTTGATGAGTCAGTGGCCTCAAAGTTTTTAGTTCCTTATCTCTTTTTGACAAAAAGTAAAAAAAAAAAAAAAAAAAGATATAAAACTAAGAATCCTCTGTGTGTATGTATTTGATTTCATCCATCAGTTCATGTCTCAATATGATGTCACTTTGCTGGAGCCTTCCATGGCTCTCAGTGTCACTTTCAGTTTTCTCTCTGAAGGGGACAACCTAGAGAAGCAGCTAACTGTACTGTAATTGCCCTCGTATAACTCCTTTTCCCGGATTCACAGACATGTTCGGAAGAGTAGATTTGGAACTTTATTTCACAGGTATAGCATGTACAGTCTTTGAACTCCTGAATTAAGTGGATGGCTGAGAAAACTAATAAATCAATTAACATAATTAATTTTTATTTAGAGTAATTTGATGTATTCACATAGATAATTGTATTACTGCATAATTTAGGAATAAGTAAAAATTTAGCACATGAAACCAAAGTAGGAATATAAATGGAAGCCATAGTCTCCAAAGATGTGAATGCATTTAAAAATCAAGTTGGGGAGGCTGAGGAAGGAGAATCACTTGAACCGAGGTGGAGATTGCAGTGAGCTGAGATTGTGCCATGGCACGCCATCCTAGGAAATAGAGAGAGACCCTGCCTCAAAAAAAAAAAAAAAAAAAAATCAAGTTGGACATAGGTGTGATTTTTATTTTTACTTGCCCAAAATAAGATAAAAATGTCACTGCCCACATGGGTCATGGTCTCCATAACAACAAAATCAATCATAGGCTAATCTAAACTGAGAAAAATAAATTTCCTTGGGGGAAACACACACACATGTTCACAAATATATCTCTTCACACACATGCCAATACACCCGCTTAATACTGTCTTAGATTTCTAAGTTACAGTGCAGGCTGCTATAGAAAAGTACTGTAAGCTGAATAGCTTACAAACAGAAATTTATTTCTTGCAGTTCTGGAGGCTGGGAAGTTCAAGATCAAGGATCCAGTAGATTCAGTGTCTGGTGAGGATGCACTTTTTCATAGATGGAGCCTTCTCATCATGTCTGCTCGTAGTGAAAGGGCTCCCTTTTATTAGGGCACTAACCCCACTGATGAGAGCTCTGAATTCATGAGCTAATCACATCCCAAAGCCCTCATCTTCTAATACCATTCACACTGGCAATTAGGTTTCAACATATGAATTTTGGGGGGATGCAAATATTCAAATCATAACACATACCTATATTCTTGTAGATCAAGTCAGTACTACTGGTAAATATGTATTCAAATTGCTATTTTGAGCTTCTTAAAACTATCACATGAGATTTCAAAACATAGGAGATTGGCAACAGGATCCTATAAGGCCATGAAGTCCAAAAGGCTAAAATATCACCTTATATTTCTCAGGATTGTGGATATGTACAGCACCTAATAGCTCTGAAATTTCAGCTTCTGTAAATGGCTTAAAGGCTATGAGTCACAACTGAGACATACTGAGTCCTAAGCCCTCTCTCCTATCCTTTCGTTGTCAGTCATAACCTCAGGTTTTCTTCCACACCTCTTGGCTGCACTTTCTAGCTGCAGGGCAAATATACGAGGCACTTTACAAACTAAGAAGAATTGTTGCCATTCTGGGAAACAAATGAAATTGAGAATATAGCAGAAAATCTACTTTATTTTGTCTATCACAATTTAATCTTCACCTCTAATAGTTTATTTGCTAATCCTACTTGACTAAATTCTTGCAGAGGTCTTTAATCTGTAATGATATTTATATCAATGCCCACAAGCAGTGCTATAGTTAATGGTGTGTTGTCATTTCCATTATAAACTCCCTATTGCACAAGTAAGAGGAGAACTAAGAACCTGTGACTTTCCTAGCTGAGGGCACATTTCAATGCTCTTCTAAATTACAGTATTAGCCAGAGCACTTTTGTCAGGCAGTATTTTCAGGCAATTTAAGAAATCGCATTAAAGGGGAAAAAAGAAATCAAAACTCTACTCACTATTTTAACAGTCAAATAAATGTCTGTAGGTAAAATTTCTTCTATTTTTATAGCTTCACATATGTTAAGCATGTATAAATAGTAAACATATTTACAATTTTGTTATTTCATTACTGAAATATTTTCTTTAGCATTTACGTTGAATTAAGTAAAAAATGTATAAGCATGAGGACCCTCTTATACTCATTTTTATTAAAAATTTTAAACAATCTCCTACCATGTCTGGAGAGGCATGAATGAGAAGTATTACTAACACATATTTTAATAAAAGAATTTTATTATGTAAACATTGGAAGGAGCTGATAATTATAATTGTAATGTTGTTGAAATGAATAAATATAACCATTTCACTGAATAAATTATACAGCTGAGCGTTTCATTGTGATGTTACAGTTTTGCCTTGCTTAATGGAGCAGAATGTAGAACCAATGGTTCTGGTCTCTTCTTGACTAAGCTGCTATGGTTTCTGTGGGATGATAGCCCTTGAGAGAATAGTCTTGCCTTAGTAAAAGTGGGATATTCTACAATGAATGAGCAATATAAAAAATGAATTAAAAAAGAGTTAAATTTTTTAATTAAAATTAGTGACAAGAAGTAACATATTATATGAGCCTGCACCATTAATTTAAGTATTATAAAAAAGTGGTACATGAAGGATATAATGTGTAAATTTTCAAAATTTTCAAAGATGAATTTCTTTCGTTTTACAATTCTATTGTAGGACAGAGGATGAAGTTGCTAGGATGACTGTCCTATCTATTCCCCTTCAAGCTTTCCCTAGTCAGTGTATCTGTGAGGACTCACCAGGAGAATTAGGCACAGAACTTCACAAGCCTGTGGCTGTCTCTGAAACAAAATTTAAACCTTCTGTGACTGTGTTATTTTGAACAATTTGTTTTATGATTTGTTTCTAACTCATAAAAAGGCACTTAAAAATAAAAATCTTGCCTATTTTGTTATTTTTTTTAAAAACTTATTATATACTTTCCTGTGTATAAAGAGAACATATTGAACATCATTTAAACTGTCATAGATAATTTAGGCAGAATTCATATTATTGTCTTATGATCTGATACAGCAATTACGATAAATGACCTTACACTGTGCTGTGTTTGTGGTTCTGTTTTGGTTTTGTGTATATTTTTCATACTTTGCTTCGATGCTTACCTGTAGGCTGTTATATTAATATTTTACTTCTTTCATTGAAACTATTTGTCTTTCAATTTACTTTAATTCAATTTGGTTTTATGTTGCTTTTTAAAAACACAATCTTAATTTATTTCTAGTCTACTAACAGCTGAGAAAAGGCTGTTAGAAATACATGTAAAACAAGATTCCATAGCTATGAATGGGAACCTGAATGGATTAAGTGCTTGGGAATTAGTCTGCATATTGAGTGATATGACTTACGACTCTTCAAAAGTTTTCTTGCTTCTTACTCCACATACTTGGTATTTCTACAAGGTATATTTGGAGAATTATTGAAGGCTACATAGGTGAGTTGTCATAACATAAGAGGGCCAATTTTAGACTCTATCCATATATTAAAATACTAATAGAATCTTAAAATATATTAAAATACTAATAGATGTCTCACAACAAACCCTAGAATGTGGGTTCTATCCTTTTAAAGATAAGTCAAAGCATGAGAGGATAGAAAATCCCCCACTTCATGATCCCACAGGTAATAAATTCTAGCCCAGGTATTTTGAAAACAGAGCCTCTTACCCATTATGTGCCTCAAGTGAAGGCATACAACTAGACATTTCTCCAGCACAACATTTTGATCCCATGAAAGCCACAGTTACTATGACTGTAAGAAACAGAAAGCCAAAATCACCACCCCCAAATTTGCATATTTTATTATTAAAGCTCTTTAACATATAGTTATCAATGTGATTGTTTAAAAGAACAGATAAAATGCCAGAGATAGAATTAGGGGGACTTTTTTTTTCTGTTTTCTATGTGTTTTTGAGCATATATGTAGACATAATATGAATAATTGTACATTATTTTATATATATATTTTAAATAAATTTAAGGAAAAAAATGACAAAAAGTTGAATATGCAAAAAAATTACAAGAACTATAAGCCAGAAGCAGAAAACAAACTTTGTATGTTCTCATTTGTGGGTGCTAACAGTTAACACAATTGAACTCATGGAGATAGAGAATAGACAGATGGTTATTAGAGGCTGGAAAGTGTAGTGGGGTGGTCAGGGAGAGGTGGGGGTTGTTAATGGGTACAAAATAATAGTAACAATGAATAGACCTAGTAACTGATAGCATAGCAGGGTGACTATAGCCAGTAATATATTTACTATACATTTTTAAACAACTTAGAGTTTAATTGGATTGTTTGTAACACAAGGGATAAATGTGTGAGGGGATAGATACCCCATGTACCATGATGTGCTTATTACACATTGCATGCCTGTATCAAAGTATCTCATGTACCCCAAAATATACATACCTATTATGTAACCACAAAAATTAAAAACAATAACAAATACTGGTAACATAATGGACAAACAATTGGGTTTTCCAGTAATATTATGGATGCATAAGAGACATACCCAAATGGTTGTGATATACCTCAGCCCTTCATCACATTTAAAAGTCCAGCGGGTTAGTGATTGAATTGGACTTAGTACCTAATATCTGAGGCTTTTTATGGTAATAAGATTAGACTCTTTTACTCTACCTTTTCTAGATAAGTTCAACTGAATAAAATTCTTTAATTCTTCTAGTGCCATCAATCATCCATCTGGGGAACACACTAGGTAGATGGTGCATTCTCTGTTCTCACTTCCACACTCCTTCCCCTCTCTCTGAATCCAGAATCTTGAGATTTAAAAGGTCTAGTAAAATTTCCCCCCATTCGGTCCACTCTTGGCTAGAAAAATGCATAGGATTTTATTCAGTGGGGACATAGAGGGAAGTCAGAATATTGAAAATATGGGGAAATTAGGTATATGCTCTCCCTCCCATACTCAAAAATCAAATATTTTTCATCATGAATGGGAAAAATAATCCTATGGATAGAAGTCTAACCTATCCTTTGTATAGAAACATCTTTCCACGGGAGCGTTATGTAAGAATTGGCTGTAATGAGATTATCAGTATCCAACTAGCTGAATCAGTCCCTCTCACAAAGACAGTTTTAGGAGGTGAGCCATTAATACTATATCTGCTAATTGCTTGCACTATTATAATAGACAAGATATACTCTTACTGAAGTATAAACTGCATCAGTAGCCATTTTTAAAATTTAAAGTGACATTTCCATGTCACTGTTAATAAGAGCTAGTAGCCACTCCCCCAGTCCCCTTTGTATTTGCCAAGCACTGGGCTGACTGCTTTATACATCAATCCTTACATCAGTCTTGAATATTAAGCTGAAGCCTTTCCTGGAGAGGCTTCCCTGTGCTTAATTGCATCAACACTTGTGCTACACAATCAACCTGTAGCCCTAAGCAACAAACCAATGGTAGCATATATCAGTATGTTATTAAGTTATCACCATTTCCCCACATTCCCTGCTTATTCTGAGACATTTGCTTTAAGGAAGAACTAACTGTCTTAGTAGAAATATGAAGTTTAACCATCAAAATCTGCATTCTCTTAATGAAAATTTCAAAAACATTAACCTAGGTATAAGACAGAAAAGTTTCCAAGAATATGCATTTGTTTTAGTCCCCATCCTAATAATAGGTTAAGAAAAATTCCCCAAATGGAAAGTTGAGGGGAAAAAAGAAAAGAGCTGAAGAAGATATAAGTTTTGCACTAAAAGGTTCTCTGAAAAGGAACTTTAAGGGCCTCTTTATTCATGGAAGGCTCCAAAAGAGAAAGGAAATAAGATCTGAGATAAGTTTTGAAATATAGCAGTAAGGAGAGCAGTCCCCTTCTCCCATCAGGAACCCTTGGAGGTGACTGCCTTACCCTGGCCGGAGCTACCACGGACGGCTAAGAAGCCCCAGAATAAACAAGGCTGTGCGGGCTTCAGGAGAAAAGAAGGCCTGAGATGGTTCAGAGAGATGTTGTTAAGAAGTAACCAAAATTTCTGGTTCCTAGTTTTGGCCTTGCAGTTAGTTTTATAACTATCCTAGTTTGTGGTTCTGCAAAGAGCTAACCAGTTCTTCAGCTGATGGATAATTTGATCTTAGCACAAATATCTGCCAGAATTCTTATGCTTTTTTGCTTACACGGTGAAGTCTCTCTGTGGGTACCAAAAATGAAAGCATAAAAATAGCTACCCTTATCTTAAAAGGGAAAGGGAATTTATTAGATGAAAGACAGTGTATTATAAGCACAGAACATTATACTGATTCTGAAATACCTTGTATTCCATATTTCCAGTTGCCTAAATTCTGTACTTTATGAGGTAGTTTTAGATATTCTTCTTCTCTAGAACCTTGGCCTGTCTTTCTCAGACAATTAGAAAAAGGAAATCAAAACACCGCGTTTCTGAAGAATAAGTGCAAAGGGCTACATTCATTTTTATGGCTCATTTGTAATAAATTATTTGATGTAAGACAGAAGAAAAAGGCCAATATGGCCATGCTTTTATGTTTGTTTACAAGTGAGAAATAAAGAGAAGAAGCAGAAGAAGTCAGGTTAGAATGTAAATGTGCCCCTGATTAAGTCATGGCCTGGCAGAAGTGGAGGAAAATGCCAGAAGCCAGAGTTACCTTCCAGCTGTCTAAAAAGGTGGGTCCAGTGAGAAGAACCAACTTCTTTTCTGTTGCTCATCCTTTTGGTCAGAGTGAGTTGCCTTGGTTACACAGGTCCTTTTTCCCATCTGGGGCAAAGGGCAAATAAATTCTAGCATGTCTGTGCCATAGGGGAGCCACCTGAAGGAAATAGCGCCTTGTTTGGGAACAAGCTCTCCTTCCATCTATCTACCAAGTGGAATTCAGATATACAGATAGGTTTCTTGAGAAGGAAACTGGTAGCACAGAGAAGTACTAGCAGCTTTGAAGGCTACTTGTCAATTTTTGCCTGAATTCTGAAGATGGTTGAATGGCAGCTGGGAAAGAATATTGGGAAGAAATAGGTCACGGCATCTGTTTCACAGTCCTCTCTGTTTTCTAGGCTGGAGGATCCTGCTTACTAAGCAAAAACAACTTCACCTGCAACAACTAAGTCAGAGAAAAGCCATCTTTATGAGGGAGAGGAGGAAAGATTTCAATACAGCACACCTAAGCAGTTCACCTGAACTAATGAGGAGAAAAAAGCCTTAGCTCAGTTGTCTTGCCTTGCCAAGTTTTCCCGCAGCCAAGTCCTTAATGTTATCTTAAGCAGTTTATTTTGTTTAATTATCTAGTTCCATTACAAAGTAAGATGACTTTGCTCAAAATTGCACTTAAATATTACCTTCAGAAGTGTTATTTACTATGTTCACAGAAGAGTTTGCTTTGTAGATTTTATAATATTCATAGAAAGTGATGTACGCTTGTTTGAATTTAATTTAGACTGAAGAAATAGATAAAAGGGGAGGTTGACAAAACCCACAGGATAGTATTAAGAAAATGAGGCAGAATAATGCCGTTGAAGAAATGCAAATTTTCAAAGTCCATTAGTACTGTTAATAGAGAAGTAGAAGGAAAAACATCAACTACCTGATGGGTAAATAGACTGCAATTCACCCTCAAACGATGAGTTCCAGACCTTTGACTTAAATAAGTATTCTAAGACTTCACAGACTCAGAAACATGTTTTAGACTGTCTTAGCTAGTTTGGCTGCTATAACAAACTGCCATATTCTGCATGTCTTATAAACAACAGGAATTTCTGTCTTACATTTCTGGAGGTGGGAAATTCAAGGTACAGGACAGGCAAGGAGAGGAGGAAGGAGGAGGGGGAGAGAGTGAGTTCTGCAGGTTCCTTTTATAAGGGGACTAATCCTATCAGGTGCCCTCATGATACTTAAATACCTCCCAATGGGCTCACTTCCTAATACCATCACATGCTAGAGTTAGGATATCAAATGTGAATTTTGGGAGACACACACATTTAGTTCATATCATAGACATTCATTAATTAAAATTAAAGTTTGGCTTTTGCTACACAGAAGCCAAAATTAATTTTTCTTCTGTGACTAAGGTTGACCTATATAGCTAGCGGACTTACTCTGCTGCGGACTATTTGACTGAAGGATTAGGGCACAGCAACATTTACAGTTACTGGGTTTTCCTTGTTTCTAGAAAAATTCTGTAATCTACAACGATGTTTCAAATAAAATTCACATCAAAATATTACAAAACTCTTAACAAAAAAATAGAAAATTTAAAGGATGTTATCATCAGCTCACTATGTCTTTGGTAAAATCTCTGGTTTTATGTGCAAATTGACTTTTTACCACTTCTACATATTTATACTGGAGGGTTTTTTTTCTTTTTAGTTTTATTATTATTATTATTATTTTCTTTTAGAAAATGGGATACCGTTGAGAAAAGTGATTCTCCTGAAGAAAAAAAAAGTAATCTTTTATATTTACACTATCATTTAAATAAATCCAGGCATTCAAATAGTTATGTGAAGACACCTGAACTTCAACTTAATAAGGCCCTGTTCATTATATACAGCTGTGAGAGACTGTGCTATGCTATTTTCCTGAGAGACAAGTCAATCAAATGTGTTAAATGCCTAAATTGTAAAATGCAATGTAGCAATGAAAAGATTCAAAAGTAAAATGCAAGTAGGAATCACCTTCAGTTCACCATTTAACTGGGGACACAGAACATATACACAAGGAAATAAGCTCCAACATTATCACAACTCTTTATTGACACAGAAACTAAGTACAAATGTGCTACTAGTATAATTAAGTGGCCATCTGAAGCTACTTGCTAACTTCCTAAATTCCTAACTTCCTAAGAGGCAGTGATTTTGTAAGTGACTTTGACATTAAAAACAAACTGGTTCAATAAGAAATTGCTCAAGTGGATCTGTTTTTTGTTTGTTTCCTTTCTTTCAGTAACCTATTAAGCACATTTAGGTAAGATTATTCTATTACTTGATTAAGTGATTGCTGTCTGGTGTACTAAAGATATCTATTACTCTGCTCTTGCATTGCCAGTAATGTTGGTAAAAGTATTTATGTAGCTGTCCTTATAATCTTTTGGTGAAAATGAACTATTTCACTCGTACTGTCAGCGCACATTAGGCAAAAACAGAGAATCTGTTTCCTTCTACTACTATGTCCATCAGCTACACCTGTGTTAGTGGCTCTAAGTAGAATTTTCACCAAAAGTAGCAATTACAGTTACATGCCCCATAATGATGTTTTGTTCAACTACAGAATGTACATACCAAAGTGGTCCTACAAGGTTATGTTACTGTATTTTTACTCAACCTTTTATATGCTTAGATATATTTAGATACGTAGATGTTTCTCATTATGTACATAGGTGTTCCTTGATATGTTACAATTGCCTACAGACTTCAGCACAGTAACATGCTGTACTGTTATAGCCTAGGAGCAATAGGCTATGCTATATAGCCTAGGTGTGTAGCAGGCTGTAACATCTAGGTTTGTGTAAGTACAGTCTATTATGTTCTCAGAATGACAAAGTTGCCTAAGAAAGCATTTCTCAGGATGTGTTGCTGCCATTAAGTGAGGCATGATTGTATATTTGGAAGCTCATTGACATCAAGTAAAATTTACTCTTACCAAGTCCTTCTGTACTATTTTTCCTTTACCCCAAGGTATAAATTGCTGATAACTCATTAAAGCTGTGTTTCTCAATTGCATCTGCCAAACAATATTATCAGGTATTTAGCTACATCAGACTCTCATAGGCAAATAAACTTGAGAAAAGCTACTGAATATTTTCTCCTTTTGGAGACTCTTAAAGAACATTAGCATATTGTAGGCACTGAACAGAGAAATTTGTTTGTCTTCATTCGGCCCATTGTTTTTCCATATGTGATTCAACCTGTAGCATTTTTATTTTGTAAAACTCCTATTATGCTTAGGAATGAATCCAAGGAATACAGTTATAGAAATGCTGGAATCAAGTATAAACCTTTCTTGTTGTGGAAGGTGGACTTTCAAGTCTTGGCTTGTAGTGGAGAAGAATGAAGTGAGAATCAGAAAAGAGAAGGTGGTAATCAAGGGCTTCTCTCTGTCACTCACTCTTCCTAGGTATGGACAAACTGCCTTTGTCATCCATCCCATTATGGCCCAGAGAGCATCTGGGTAGTCATTACAGAGGATCTTCTTAAGACATAAAAGTGTCTTTTGTAAACTCTGTGGTGTAAAATTGAAAAAAAAAGTGAATTTCAAAAAATTATTATTAATGGCACTTTTACCACAGTGCTTTTTATCATAAAACCTAGATATCTACATTGAAGGTGGATAAAAAAGGGAGTGAATGTGAACAAATGGAAAGGACCTTTGGATCTGAGATGTAAAGAACTGTTTGAATCCTTGCTTAGGCATTTTCTATATCTGAATCTCATTCTTTTTTTTCACTTTCTATGTGTGTAGAACTGGTAAACAAATGAAAAAAATGGTATAGAATATGTGGTAAATAAGTGCCATGTATTATTACTACACATTTTAGTTCTAAATATCTAAACACTACTTTCTCTTGGATAAAATATCATGCAACTAGAGATTCAAGAAAATGCTACAAAATTACATATAAAAATAACTCCAAATTAGTAAAGAACTAGAACAAGAAATGATTCACACACACAATTTTTAAATAAAGTGAATTGTTTAAAAAATTCCGAAACACTAATGTGGTATAAATATCATTGGCTATGAAATGGTATAACTGCATGGGGCTTGCTAATAGAATACAAAAGTTATTATACTGGAAATATTGCATGGAAATTATATGTTTTTATATGTAATCATCATGTAATCCTTTATGTGAAAAGAAGCTTAAGACACCTAATCCATTTCGGAGGGTAGAGAATGCCAATAGTGGTTGAGAACTTGTCATTTCAAAAAAATGTATTCAGTTTACAGTTAGGGTCTTGTGAGCAAAAACATGTGTATCTGATGTGTGCATGTGTGTGTCTTCTAAAAGCAAAGCAGGAATCCAGCATTATAGAACATATTAGGAGAAAGCAAATGGGAGATAAATGCATTTATGTAAACTTATTTATTTAAAGTTGGACTTTTTTTTTCAGCAGTAGTTAAAAACACTTTGCAAATAACACCAAGGCTATAAAAGAGGCAAATAATAGGATTCATATGGATAAAGATATTTTGTTCTTATTTCTGAATTAGAATAATTTGGTTTTGACTTAAAATGTTAAGCTATGAATTTCATCTTGTTATAAATATAAGGTACATAAATTGGACCATCCTATCAAGTTCAGTCAAGATTCTGGTACACAGGTAGTAATTATTATGAAAACCCTTCTACAAAAATCATTCCAGCATTGTCATTTACAGGTTATATTAAAAGATAAGTGGAGGTCCCTTTTAAACTTAAGAAAGCTAAAAACAAATTCCATTCAATCCAGCAATCCCATTACTGGATATATACTAAGAGGAATATAAATTGCTTTATCATAAATACATATGCATGCATATGTTCATTGCAGCACTGTTCACACTAGCAAAGACATGGAATCAATCTAAATGTTCATCAGTGATATATCGGATAAAGAAAATGTGGTTTATTTACACTATGGCATAACTATGCAGCCCTAAAAAAGAATGGGATTATGTTCTTTGCAGGAACAGGGATGGAGCTGAACATGGATGGATCCTTAGGAAACTACGCAGGAACAAAAACCCAAATACTGCATGTTCTCACTTATAAGTGGGAGGTAAATGATCAGAACACATGGACACATAGAGGGGAACAACACACTGAGGCCTTTCGGAAGGTTGAGGGTTGGGGGAGGGAAAGGATCACAATAAATAACTATTGGGTACTAGGCTTAATATCTGGCTGATTAAATAATGTGTACAACAGACACCCATGATACGTTTACCTATGTAATAAACCTGTATGTGTACTCCTAAACTTAAAATAAAAGTATATAAAAAAGAGAAAAATGTTTCATTTAGGGCAAAAATTTCTAGTCACTTTATTGAAGTAGTGAAAAACAAGTTCCTATTTCACTTAGCTGAAGACTTAGGCTCAATTAATTAGGGATTAACCAAGAGAGATATAAGCAAGAAGCTTGTATGAAGGGTAGTTAGGGAGAATTATTACCAGAAACGCATGGGAGAAAATGTTTTATGTGTGTTGTCTTCTATCAAAAATACCCCATCTACTTTTAATTTTTGTGAAACTCACAAAATAAAAATGTCTCTGCCCACTACAGAAAGCCTATTGACTACATGAATATCTAGGTTCCAATAAATGGAGCCACCTTGTCTAGAACAGGTCAAATAATGGGCTATTTTTACAGACAAGGCTGATAAGAGAATCATAGAATATTACAGACAGAAGGAATTTTACGTGAATTCCCTCATTATATACATAAGAAAATAAGATCATAGATGAGAAATTAGTGACTGTGCTAAGATTAGAACTTCAATCTCTGGATTCCAAGTAAAACTTTTTTTGATAAAGAGAAAAATTTTCAATATTTAAACCAAGCCTGGTTTTTCACCTCTTTATGATTCTTTTTTATAAAACTTTAACTACAAATGTTCTACTCACCTTTAATTTACTTGCACAATGACCTGGGAGGCCTTCTTTCCTGATGTACTTAATTTGTCATCTCTTACTGCTGAGATACATAGTAATGAGACTGTTACTATAGTTAGGATACCTAAAATATCTTAAATCTTAAATGTACTTTTATGCTTCATAGACAAACCTAGAACATGCGATTGTCAGTTCTTTCCCTTGGTAGCATTAGTTTGTAGGGAAATATTGGATAATTTTTTTTATTTTTGATTTAAAAACAAAGATTTGGATTCGCCAGGATTATTTAGACTGGACTACTTAGAAAACAGGTATGTTATCTTCTCCTTTTAGCTTCATCTTTATTCTTTTTCACTGTCTGTGTATTGTGAAAATATTGAGGGTTCTTTGAAGGTAGAATGAGTTCTATTCTTTTGCAAATCCCACAGTGTGCCTCACAAATGCCTCATCCCTAGTAAAAATCTGATGAAATTCTGTTATTTTGATGCCTGACTTGTAACACAAAATGTACGTGTAAATTTTTCCTGTCTTACTTATTCTAACATACTTAAGCATTTTGATTTTTTTTTTCTACTATCCATTAAGGCATGGATTCTTTAACAGAGATGGTTTTTGTAAAGTGCATACACAGATACACATAAATGAATGTTAAACTTAGAACCAAAAACAAAGGCATAAATAATTGCTTTATTCTCTTCAAAGATGAAAAAGACAGAAATAATATTTAAAAAGATAGCTAAAATATGCTTCTATGTGCCCATAATAAGAAATTTCACAACTACATTATTGTCGTCTAAAACAAAATATGTGATAGCCCAGGTGCAAGTGGTTTGACTAAGATTTCTTAAAAATCTAAGATGACTTTCATACCTTTTAAAAAACGTTCTCCAGTGTTGTTTTTAATTTTTCACCACTGTCTCTGAGACTGTGCAGCTGCAGCTGGAAGCATAACAATAGTTCAGCTTACTGGCATCTATTTCCTGATTTAGAATCAACAGGGAAATAATTGTCAAGACTTGAAATGGAATGCATACAATCGTTGTATTTAAAAATTAATATGAAGTTATTTAATTCAAACACCTAGAGATTTTTTTTTTAAGCAATACTTCAGCATTTCTCCTTGGGAACAGCTAAATTTGAATTTAAAGATTTCATGGACTGACTTTAATTTATAGGGAACTTTATGAGGAATTTATAGCACATACGATTATGAATAGCACATAATGCTTGCTAATAATAATTTAAAAAGTTACTGGTTATGTTATACTATTAGTTTTAACTCTTTTATTTATTGTAATTTAAACATAAATATGTAGTTAAAAATAATTCTACGGTGTATAAATATGTATATATAACTAAATTGTTATAAATGGTCAATATGAACAGAATGATACAAATTTGGAAATAAAAAATACTTTTTTCTACAAAATGCAAATTATTTATATTATCTTTAGTATTCATATAGTTATATTTCTCTATTAGATATTCTAGTAAATATGTGATTGCAAAAAATAAGAACAGCAAAAACTACTTAAAAACTAAAATTTTACTTTGAATAATCTGCTGCCTATAAGCAGCTTGATGATACCTGATATAGGGTTAGGTCTACATAATGCCAAACAAAATGCCAGGAAGAAAAACATAAAATAAAGGTAGTTTTCCTTAAACTGTTGGAAAAGAAGACCTGTTTATTTCAGTATATAGTCAAACTAATACCAGGCAACTAAAAGAATAAATTGTCTTTTTCTTTCCTTTTTTAAAAATAAATTTGAGTAATAGGTGTAAATATTTGCTAGGTTTTATTTATGTTTATAAGTAAACACATAGTTAATATATATTAAATGCCTACTACATGCTAGGCACTGTTTACTTGTTCACAGGGATTCTCTCATTTAATTTTTACAAAATTCCTCTATATTCTATTACTTTATTTACAAATGAGAAAGGCAAAGCATAAAGAGGTTAATACAACTAATATGTGATAAACTAGAACACTTACTATGTTTTTCCATATTTTCACAAATGTAGCCTAAAGTTAAGTTAGTTTGAATAGAAAAATAAACTAATATTATTATACTATGCCTTCATATTAAAGCTTTTTGTAGCTTAAAAAATATATATACACACATATATATACAAAATATATATACACAAAAAATATATATATACACATATATATGTGTGTGTATATATATAGTGTGTGTAGTGTGGTAGAGGAGCAGAAGGCTAAAAATTATGCATTTTTCCATTCTTTAAAATACCTTGAATTTATAGCTCATGTTAATGAGTGGTTTTCCCTAGCACCCCAATTACTATTTAGAAGCTTTCTCCTTTTTGTTTATGTTTTTGTTGTGCAATTTTTCACCCTTATTTCCTGCAGTACTTGGGATTCATGCTATCTTTTATGTCGATGTTCAGATTTGCTTAAAAACCTGACAACCAAAGTATTAAATTAAGCTTTTAAGCAATTCAAAGAAAATTTCACATGAGGCTTCCAACTACTTGTCCAAATTTTTAAAATAATAATCAAATATGTTAATGTGAAAGTTTCTTTGACATAATAAATTGAATCTAGTTCTTTGCAACTATATCTAAATATAGTCTTGTGCTATATAACAACTTTTCAATCAAAGAAGAACCACATATGAAACAGTGGTCTCATAAGATTATAATAAAACAAAAATTTATTGCTGCCTAGTGACATCATAGCCATCATAATGTAATAATGCAATGCGTTACTCATGTGTTTGTGGTGATGCTGGTATTAACAAACCAACTGTGCTGCTAGTGATATGAAAGTACAGCTCATACAATTATGTATACTACATAATACTTGCTAATGATAATCAACAGTCATGTTACTGGTTTATGTACATCATTATATTACACTTTATATCTTTATTTTACAGTGTACTGCTTCTATTTATTAAAAAAGCTAAACCCACCACGTGTTAACTTAAAGCAGCCTCAGACAGGTACTTCAGGAGGTATTCCAAAAGAATATGTTGTTATCCTGGAAGATGACAGTTCCATGTGTGTCACTGTCCCTGCAGACCTTCCAGTGGGACAAGATGTGAAGGTAGGAGACAGTGATATTGGTGACCCTGACCCTGTGTAAGCTTAGGCTAATGTGTGTGCTTCTTTCTTAGTTTTTAACAAAAAGTTTTAAAAGTAAAACTAAATAGATCATCTTTAAAATAAATAAAGGCTTACAGAATGATAGAAAGAAAAATGTATTTTTGAACAAAGGTACATGCATTTGTGTTTTAAGCTAAGCATTATTACAAAAGAGTCGTAAAGTTAAAAAATAGTTTAAAAAGTAAGAAAGTTAAAGTAAGCTAAGAAAGAAACAAATATTTGTAATACACATATTGTAGCCTAAGTGTATAATGCTTACAAAGTCTACATTAGTGTCCACTAATGTCCTAGGCCTTCACATTCCCTCCCCACTCAGTCACTGACTCACCCAGAGCAACTACCGATCCTGCAAGATCTATTTGCGGTAAATGATCTATACAGGCATAACATTTTTTTATTTTTTATATCACACTTTTATTGTGCATTTCTATGTTTAGGTATGGTTAGATACACAAATACTATTATGTTATGATTGCCTACAGTATTTAGTATAGTAACATGCTATACAGGTTTGTAGACTAGGGGCAATAGGCTATATACCATGTAGCCTAGGTGTGTAGTAGGTATACCATCTAGGTTTGTGTAAGTACACTACAATGTTTTCACAACAATGAAATTGCCTAAAGATGCATTTCTCAGAAAGTATCCCTGTCCGTAAACAATTCATGACTGTAGACAGTAACATAATAAACTCTGTATCTATATGCACTGCTATTTCAAATAAATTATTCTAAAGTGATTTTACCTCATGAACTCAATATACAATTGGAATCTAAATATATCACAATGATTCTTTATGCTTTGATGAATACTAGCTTTAGAAATCTGTCAAAGAAGCTTGGGCCTAATGACTGGACTCAGTATACTTTTTGACAAGTGATTACAATTCATTCATTGAATTATTTATTAAACAAATATTCATTAAACAAAAATTATACTAGTCATTGGGGTAGATGTTGAAGACACAGTACTAGCCTTCAAGATCCTCAGTCAAATTTGGGGCAGTGGGATGGAGCATAGACTGTTCTCACAGGCAGAGATTAATGCCACAGTAGAAGTATATCTAGTATGAGTTGAGGGCCAGAGAAGGAATTTTGGGAGAGATGATCATAAAGCTGAATATCTAGTAGAATTAATTTAGAAACTCATCAGTAAAGAATGAGATGGGCATTTGTGGCAACAGAGAGAAAAATAAAGCATGAAGGACATGGTGGTGGTGTGTGTAACGCAGAAGAGTGGCACAGAGGCTGAGGATGTAGGCACCATCCTTGTATGTCATACTAAAGAGTGGGTTTATTCCAAGGCTATAAGGGAGTCATCACAAAATCTACATAATGTGTTTGGTGTAAAAAGATCTGTTTTAGAAAGATCAATAAGTAAAACGTGTGCAGAACAGATTGAAGACAAACAGGGAGAAGAAAGAATGAGGTATGAAAACAAGGCGTTCTTAGTGGGACAGTAGAGAAGGGCTGTTTCAGGATATTAGTATGAGAAGATGGTGGGAACTTATTAAAAGATGGGAGGGGTGCAGAGAGACAAGAGCCTGGCTTCATTTCTGAGTGTGTGTGTGTGTGTGTGTGCCTGGATAGAGAAATAAAGATGGAAAGCAGTTTGTAGGGTACAGGTGGTGACTTAAAATTTTACAGAAGTGCACACGGACACTTTAAAATGAGAGAAACACTTATGTATATATGCTTTTTGTGGAAAGATGCCCTTCTTAAAATATAACCACCGCCTCATTTAAAAAACAAATTCATTGTATAATGACTAAGGGACTTTCAAGGGGAGATATACAATGGATAGTTAGAAAAAGAAGTGACTACTGCCAGAAAGAACTTTGGTTTATTTTTAGTTTTAGAAACTTCACAGCTAAGTAGAAATGGTAAGAAATTTTGTTTGTTTTTGTTTTGATTAACTTAATAAATATAGAAAATACATTCAGAAAATTAAGGGTCCAGTATACATCCTCAGTCATGAACTACTTGATCGAAAGTTGATACTACGTCTATAACATTTTTATGAAGACACAAAACTAACCACTTGTCAGATATTATGCTCTTTTTGATACTATTAAGCTACCTCATATGGTAGATAATAAAACATTTCTAACTTTATGTTTGCTGGTGGAATAAAAAATGTTCTACTAAAGATATGCAAACAGTATATTGAGAATAATTTTGGCTATAGAAATGAGTCAGTGACATGATTGCCGGATTTAATGTCAATTAGATTTAGTAAATGTTCCATTTACCTAGATAACAGAATTGCATTATCAAATCTTCAAATGTTAGTTGGATCATAAAATATTTTCTCCATGGCATGTAGTCTCGGATTTGAGAATAATATGAGTATGTGGTGAAAGCAGACTCAATGTTTAGAGTAATCTCCTAACCTGTGATTCATTCCTATGTAATATAATCCATATTAATTACTATTTTGCCACTCTACATGCAGGTGCCCATGCATTTCAGTGAACCTTGTTTGCTATAATATTAATCTCAACACAAATATATCACCCTCCTTGAATTGCATCAGTAACATGAACTTTATATAATAGCTTTTTAGTAATATAAGTATAGTATAGCTTTATAGTAATTTCTTTATTTAACTAATAATATAAAATTAATACTAATAAAATTTTTTATCAGTTCATGAAAAATTTTGTAAAAGTTAAAAATATGCAGCCACAAAAATAACCCATTAAATTACTATTCCTACAGAAGTTACCAAACTATTCTAAAAATATTTTAATAAAATTTACTTAAAATTCTTTATAAGTATCTCCACTATTTGTAAAGGCAAATAAAGTCTTTGGTTAAAAAAGCACTTTGACCCTAAAAGAGAAAAGCACTGAATCCTTATTTTTAAAGGCCAACTAAAAGTTACTGAGAAAAATCTTAAAGAGCATGTTATTCTTTGAAAATCAACTTGGCACAATCTCTAACAAACTACAAAGTTGATGCAAAGTAAGAATACTGCAAATTCAACATTAATGAAATTACTCTATAATTAATGTTATCAGTTCTACCCAGAGTGTAACCTGTTAACCTTACTTTTAGGATTTATATTTTTATTTTGCAGTCACTCAAATTACAGCTTTTTTATTTATATTTTGTTTTATAATTCCTGATACTTGAATTATCAGTAATGTTGAGAGATTTTAGAAGTTTTTTTTTTATATTTTATGATGATAAATTTGGTAAAGCTTTCTTTTGAGGCTGGTATTTTCAGGGGATAGATTGTTTTTATGAGAGACTAAATATTTGGTCTCAGAGTAATTTTATAGAAGTGCACATATACACCTTTTAAAATGAGATAAACAGTTATGTATATACATCCTTTTGTATAGAATAATGTCCTTCCTTAGATATAATCATGGCCTTATTTAAGATACTTTACAAATCAAAATTAGTCTTTGATATAACTGAATTACTTATTTTTTGATAGTGTGGTATGAATTGATTATATCAATCAACTATATTTTGAAACACAATTCTTTTAAAGTGCTTAAAAATGTTTAAGTACACTGTATGAACATTTTGTAATTAATTAAGAATTTTTTGAATGGAAAGATTAAAACGTTCATAAACATTTTAAAAAACAAAAATATATGTTCAGGTCTTGTACTAGTAGATGCAGTTGTGTCTGTTCCCAGAAAGATAATAGTTCTTTTTTATAAATACTAGTATTTTGGTTGCTTTTCTTTTTTGTTCTCAAAAAGAGAGAAACAAACGAATTGCCGTTCTGAACACACAATCAGAAAATAAGTGGAGGCTGAGAATATCTGAGGAAATACAGCAACTTTATTAGAATTTTCAAAGGATGCTAAAGAACAAAAATAAAGAAATAAGTGCTTTTGCTCACATAAACAGGCTTTCCAAGGCTTTGCACAGCGATCTCTTCTCTTCTTAATTCAAAATAGTAGGATGAATAAGTAACATGCCAGGATCTTCGCTCACTGCAGCCTCAGACTCTTGGGTTCAGGCAATGCTTCTACCTCAGCCTTCAGAATAGCTTCTACAGGCTCCTGCAACAATGTCTGTCTGTCTGTCATCTATCTATCTATCTATCTATCTATCTATCTATCTATCTATCTATCTACTCATTTATTTTGAGACGGAGTCTCGCTCTGTTGTCAGGCTGGAGTGCAGTGGCTCGATCTTAGCTCACTGCAACCTCCAACTCCCTGGTTCAAGCGATTATCCTGCCTCACCCACAGTAACTGGAATTACAAGCACGCGCCGCCATCCCTGGCTAATTTTTTGTATTTTTACGAGATGGGGTTTCACCGTGTTGGCCAGGCTGGTCTCCAATTTCTGGTCTCAGGTGATCCGCCCGCCTCAGTCTCCCAAAGTGCTTGGATTTCAGGCATGCACCATGGTGAACAGTCCTATCTCCTACAACCATCTGATCTTCAACAAAGTCGACAATAACAAGCAATGGGGAAAGGACCCCCTACTCAATAAATGATGCTGGTATAACTGGCTAGCCATATGCAGAGAATAAAACTGGACCCCTACAATTCGCCATATATAAAAAAGTAATTCAAGATGGATTAGAGACTTAAATGTAAGACGTGAAACTATTAAAGTATAATAATAATAAAATAAAATTAAAAAAATCAAAAGTCAAAAGTAAAAAAAAAAAATCCTAAAGGAATATCTAGGAAACCATTCTGGATGTCACTTTAGCAAAGAATTTATGACTAAGTCCCCAGAAGCAATTGCAACCAAAACAAAAATTAACAAGTGGAACATAATTAAACTAAAGAGCTTCTGCAGAGCAAAAGCAAACAAACAAACAGAAAGCTATGAACAGAGTAAACAGACAACATACAGAATGGGAAAAAATATTTGCAAACTATACATCCCACAAAGGTTTAATATCCAGAATCCATAAGGAACTTAAACAATTCAACAAGAAAGAAACAACCTTAAAAAATAGGCAAAGGACATGAGCCAAAACTTCTTAAAGTAAGACATACATGTGTCCAAGGAATATATTTTAAAAAATGCTTAACATTATTAATTATTAGAGAAATGCAAATTAAAACCACTATGAGATACCATCTCACACCAGAGTGGCCATTATTAAAAAGTCTCAAAAAAAAAAAAAACCCTACATTGGTGAGATTGCGAAGAAAAGGGAACATTTATACACTGCTGGTGGGCATATAAGTTAGTTTGGCCTCTGTGGAAAACAGTGTGGAGATTTCTTAAAGAACTAAGAATTTAACTACCTATTATTTGGCCCCAAATTCCCATTACTGGGTGTATACTCAAAGAAAACTAAATAATTCTACCAAGAAGACACATGCATATATGTGTTCATCACAGCACTATTTATCATAGCAATGACTTAGAATCAACCTAGATGCTCATCAAAAGTGGACTGGATAAAGAAAATATGGTATATATACATCATGGAATATGTCACAGCTATAAAAATGAGCAAAATCTTGTCCTTTGCAGCAACATATATGCAGCTGCAGGTCATCATCCTAAGCAAATTAATCCAAGAACAGAAAAACAAATACCATGTTCTCACTTATACCTGAGAGCTAAACGCTGAGGATACAAGGAAAGAAAGATGAGAAAAGTAGACAGTGGGACTACTGGGAGGGAAAATGAAAGTGAAAAGGGGGTTGAAAAACTATCAGATACTGTGCTCACTACCTGGGTGATGGTATCATTCATATACTAAACCTCAATGATGTGCAATTTACCCATGTAACAAATGTGCACAGGCACCTCTGGACTCTAAAATAAAAGTTAAAAAAAAAAAGAGAAAATGAAAAAACATGCAAGGAAACAAACAAGACCCCCTTAGCAAGGTTAAAATGATATTTTGTATTAAGAAAAGACTATGTTATACATACATTCAAGTTTCAAAAACAAGTTCTATTATCAATTATAATCCAGAGAAAAACATCTTTATATTTTGAATGATTACTTGGTGTGAAATTAAGAAGAAAACCTTAGAAAGAGAGATACTTCAAAAAGCGCATTTATTGCATTAGAAACTTGAACACAAATATACTATTAGGAAGCCAATAATACATACCATTTTTTCTCTAAAACTCTCATTCACTCTTGCTATGTTTATTATTGAAATTAATTTTAAAATTAATATTATATTTTCAGTTCATCTTCTATGTTCTCTCATTAGCGGAATGAGAAAAAAATTCTAATTTTAACTGGGCCTTTAAACATTATTGATATCATTTTAATTATTATATATTAAAAACATAAACTCAGCTTCTCCTAATTTAGTAACTTCATGCAAATAAGCATGGTTTGGCAGTATAAAAATCAAGAGACCAAATGCCTCTGCTGTTTCCTTGGCAATACTTACAAGTAAGAATGAAGTGTATTGTGATTTTGTTTGTCTGTGCAGGGACCATAAAGATTAAGACTAATAAATAATTTTAATAATATATATGATGATAGGTTAAAAGAAAGAGCCACAGCATGACATGGTCAGATTTAGATAAAGCATGACTGCCCAATTATATAGATTTGTACTTTCTGTTTTATACCTACTAAGTAGAAAAGAAGCACCTTAAATTTATTTGCTAAGATATTTCCCAGGGCAAATATAATTTGGTAAAAATAGAGACCTGGGAATTTCTTCTTATCTTTGGATGATGGGATTTAAAATTACAGATTATTCAAGATGAGTAACACTTTTTGATTCTTCTTTTAATTCCCAATTTTGGCCACAAGGGCCAGAGTTAGACTTGTAAGTAATATTTCTTAACTGAGGCAGCTAACCACTGGCAACTACCAGTTATTTCCTTTGTCATCATATTTTCTCCATGAACATTCCAGTCTTCATCCTCAGTCCCCTAAATTTTCACCTAGGATGTCAATGCCATCTGTGCAGCTTTTAAGAGTTCTCAAATCTCCATCTACCTCTCCAGTTTACCCCTAGACTTAAGCATTATGTGAAACCTCTGGAAACAGGCTCAGCTTTCTAAGAATCTACATTTTGCCTTCTTGCAGTCCAAACAAAGAATGCTAGACTAATAAAGAGTTGCTATGGCTGGCATGCTGGGCTCATGCCTGTAATTCAGCTACATGGGAGGCTGAGATAGAAGGATTGCTTTAGCCAAGGAGTTAGAGGCTGTAGTGAGCTATGATCATGTGCTGCACTCCACCAGCCTGGGCAACAGAGTAACATCCCAACTCCAAAAAAAAAAAAAAAAAAAAAAAAGGAAATGAGTTTCTTTGACTACAGACTTGGCTCTGTACAAGCCATGAAAGTTTGTGGAGACCATGATATAATGCCCACCATTCCTTGGGCCCTTTAACTTTAACTATCAAATGTATTATCTTACTCTGGAAATAACATAAGAGTAACTATCTGACAAAAGCATCGATTTCTAGGCAGTTTTCAAACCTCTGTATCTTTTCACTTACTCTGGACTGGTTCACATTTGGACATGTGCCCTTGTACCGGTCCTTGTCAATGAAGTCTACATCTTGGCTTTTATGTTTGTTTTGTGGCCTCCCACTTGGTAATTCTTTGGAAGCCCTTTTGACTTCTGAGATTTGGTCTTACCTTTTGGCTTTTGATTTAGCTTGATTTTCTGGTTTTGGTGTCTTCTGCTACCTGCAATGATAAACTATCAAGGCAAACGATAGCTCATATGCATCCCAACTAACTAGCCCCCATCCCCACAACCAGCCCTAATTTATTTTATTCTTCCTTGGGGTTTGACATTTATTATACACAACATTTGGGTGTTCAGATAGAAAAATCCTTCTCATCCTGTATTTACATGACATATCTGTTGTCCTTTATACACATTCAAAACTATTGCTACTGCATCTGGCATGGTACTTTGAGAAACCTTCTTGCTGCAATATAAATAGATCCTGGAAGGACATATGTTTTAAGAAACAAAGATAGGAAAAGATTGCAAGAACACAAGGCAGTGTAAGATGGGGGGAAAAATCACAGGAGTAGGTGATTCATGGAAGAAAAAAACGTGATTTTAAAGTAAATATATGTAAATAGTATCAACATAATTAATTATTCATGAGAATTGTTAATTTAAACTGCAGTGGATATCATTTTATTTACCCTAGATTTTCAACTATCAAGAAGCCTGATAATATCCAATAGTGTAGAAAGTGTGAATTAAAGAATCTGGTGAGAGTGTAGAAATAGTTATTATTAAATTAATATTCACATATTCATAGATTAAGCATTTTTATCATCAATTATGTGCCATAAAGAAACTTTCACGTTTGTTCCAGGATATATAGAAACCAATGTCAATAGCAACAATTTATGTGATAGCAAAAATCTAGAAACAACCAAAATTAACATTGACAAGGACTGAACAAGTAATAGTGGTATAAACAAACAACAGGCGATTTTACAGAAGTTAAAACTGTAAATAAGCTAAAACTACTTGAAGCGATGGGCATAAATCTTAAACTAGCATTGACTGATCAAAGCAATTGCTATAAGACTACCTATGGTAAGATATATTTTAATGGAGATCAGAAGTTAAATAATATTATACTATTAGGTATGCACTTACATATTATAAATTTATAAGAATTACAGGTATAATAAATACACAATTTGGGATAATATCATCTTATCATCCTCTGTGGTAGAGGTAAAGACTGATATGGGAAGAATACACAGGTAGAAGACAATTACTTGGTAATTTTTTGGGGGGAAGGGTTTGGCAGTAAGTTGTTGGGAATTCACAATATTATTATTATTGATAACATTGTATACATGTTACATAAATGTCTTAAATATCAAGTTAAATGTATAAGGGAATATATTTATACTTATTTTTAATACATGTGCCCATCCTTAAAATATTAGAAATTTACTTTGCCTATTTTCATATGAGAAATTCTCTACTTTTATTTATGCTTATGAAGTAAGCTTATCCTTCAAGGAATGAAGATACTAGCTGTAAAATAGATGAAAAAAAAGTACATACTAATTCAACAGGCTTTATCTTGGGGATTTTGAATAATCACCTTTTAATTTTTATCCATTTTTAGTTCTGTTAGCTAAAAGTCTGTAATGCCTCATGCCTCACTAAACTATTAACGAAGGTAAATATAACCATACTGTTAGTAAAACAGCAGATGTAGCCCATTCAAAAAAAATCCATTGTGAGCTCTTCTTTTAAACTTTAGATATATTTAACAAGACAGATTTCATTTTATGTTTGCTTCGGAGTGAGCCCTTTGCTGTCAATATGACAAAATCAAGTAAAATGCTGGATAGTTGAGAGCTGAATCATTTATCTTCTACTGCATATCAAGAAACTTTAAAAAAAGTCTATAAATTGTGACAAGGTCTTTAAATACTTATAACTGACCAATGGGTAGAATATAAAAAAAGTGAAGTATTTTGTTCAATAGCACCAAAAGAACTCAAGTGATTGAACAGTTAGTGAATACTTGATCGGTCATACGATATTCATTGTCACTTTTTAAGAGCCTCTTAGATTTTTAGAAAAGAATCCATATGAGCTCTTGTCATTGAGCAAATTACAAGAGGATCCATATCACAATGATTGCCACTAGACGTACTTACAAATAAGCCCTATTATGAGCACGTCACCACTCAAGAATGTATGCTGTGCAACACATTTCCTTCCCCCTCTTTCATTTAGTATCTTTGTGAATGAACAGCATAAAGAACTGGAAAACAACTCATGTTTCAAAATTAAAAACACTCAAACCAAAATAACAACAACAAAAAAATAAATCCCGTGAACCTTGTCTTAAATAAATCTTAACCCTATATCCAAAAGATTGTGTCTCCCATTCTCTGAGTTCTCTTAAAGTTGCTGCCGTATGCATGTTATGATCTTTTGACATTTCTCTTTCTTATGACTTTGGTGATCAGTTACTCCATCATCGCTTTTTTGGAGGGGTCTTAGACATACTATGGAAGTCTGTCTATTTCTTATACTTTTTCCTTAATCTCAGAATTGTGCCCTACTAATTGGGCAACTGGGGCAAGTAAATATAACCTTTCTCCATGAACTTCCACCCTTTCCTCAAAGCAACTTTTCCACAGGTCAAGGGTAAGTGACTGAAGGCAACTAGAAGATGAAGCAGTCTTGCCCTGCATCCTTACACCAGCACTAATGGACTTTTGCTGTAACAGGAGTGTGATGGATGACCTCTGCTCATCAGAGGGGTTGACACACTCTTATTTTCCTATGCTTAAACAAACACAAATATTCTGCTAGGAAATACATAGATTTACCTTTTGACTCTTAATTTTCATGAAGTTAAAATGAGAAAAAGTAAAATCAAGAGAGGCCCCAGAGGACTCAAAGTGAAACTAGAAGTTTCTGGCTGCTGTGATGTAAACAAAGGCAGGAAGAGAAGACCCTGAATGCTGATCCCATGAACCCCTTTCTCTTAAGCCTGGGGCTTTTCCTAACAATCCAAATCACCCAGCTGCTCCAGTCTAATTCTCACACCAGAGTCAGCTCTTGGGCCACTAGGCCTGCTGAGAAAAGAACAATCTACTGGCATAGTTTGCCTTATAATAGGGGTCAAAAGGCCTTTTCTGTAGAAGACATATGGTTTTTGTCACAACCAATTAATTTCATCATGGTAGTGGGAAAGCAGCAGTAGACAGACCTAAATGAAGGTGTGTGGCTGTGTTCAAATAAAACTTTATTTGAGAGCACAAATGTGAATTTCGTATAATTTTTACCTGTCACAAAATTATTTTGATCTTTTTTCAATTAAAAATCTAAAAACTCGTTAGCTTTCAGGCACACAAGAATAGGCAGCGGACTTGTTTTACAGCATTATGGGTACCTTTACTGTCAATGACAGTTGAGAAATATAGTAATGTATTCATCTTAAAGCAAGATGGCATCATTATCATAATCTAAAATAAAGCAAAGTAAATTTACTCTTTTGCATATTCGTACTTGCATATCGTGGTCTTCCACCAAACATGGATGGTTTTTTGAAAATTATTGTATTTGCTTGCTACCACTCAACTAAAATGGAAAATTTATAAAGTACTCTTTAGAAAAAAAGAAAAAGAAAGAAACCAGCAACTTTCTCTCAGATTTAAGGGTGATGTATTTTGCCTTATAAATATCCTTAACTAATGCTCAGCCATGGATGATGCACAGGTGTGGTGACTAGCCATAGCTTCAGAGAATTTAAATAATTTTCTATCTACATTATAAATCTGGTCACTTGTTTTAGAAGCACATACCAAATAAATCTCAGAATTAATGTGCTACATCTACATTCAGAAATCCAATTTCTTAGAGATACCTCTGAATAACTAAGTAATGGGCAATGTGTTGCATAATTATGGCACTGCTGAGTCTTGGTAAGGATTCCCCTTGTTAATATTCAGCTGCCTTCAAGGAAGTCACTGGATATCAGTAATTATCTGTCTGTTCATAGCTCTGCCTTAACAATACCCCTGTTAAGATTTTCCTGCATATATTTTCTTAATTTTTGACTTTTATAATTCCCATATATGGATCAGTAATTTGAATATTACTCACTACATTCAGATATTCCAATGGCCCCTTGTGCCAAACTCTAATTTTCAGGTACATTAGTGGGCATGATTTCATAAAGCTTTCCAAAGATGCCATGTTTGATTTAGAAGCAATTTGTTTTCTTCAGTCTTTCCCGAGTGCCCTTACTCCTTCCTTTTGCCTTGCTTCTTTCTAATTGTATTTTGTCACACAATATAACTACAATTAATGTGCATTCTCTCCCTCTAATGTCTCTGCCATCAAAGTGAATTTTTTTAGCCTATAGCATATTTGCATTTTCACATGAAAAGGTGCATCATCTCAGTAAGCTATGCCTCCCGGTGAACGCAATTATTCCCACTGCGTAAAGCAAAATGGGCCAGTACATCCCTCATGAAATGGGCAACATATGGGTACTACCATCAACACAGCTGGAACATCTGTTTATAAATGTATGCTGTGTGTGCATCACTTTAGTTGCACATACTTACATGAGGCTGAGAGGATGTGAAAACAGAAGTAAGGCTTATAGATAAGGAAGCAAAGAAATAGGGGAGTACATCTGAGAAATGTGTTTTCCCAGTGACAGCACCAGCTCTGTTCTGCTTTCTTGGTAGAACAGAGCTAACCATAATTACTCATTTACAATTTTCTTGACCTCATAACTTAAAAAAAATCCCATGAATGAATTGGAAAGAGTTAAGAAAATATTAATCTTTGTTTCATCCTGCATCCATCATCTAGAAACTTAATAATAATTGGAACAATGACAATATAACACCAACTATAGATACATGTGCTCAGTCCTGTACTAAAATATTTTCATGGATCATATTATATAATATTCTAAAAACACCACATAATAAGTCCTGTTTATAGATGAGCAAACAGAGACACCAGTGAGTTAAACTTCACAGTTGTAAGAGGCAAGACCAGAAAATGAATGCACATTATTTGACTTCTACTCTTCTCATCCCCTATTTGTTTAAGAGCACTTACAAAGATCCTCATATAATTTCATGTATGTGACATACAAATATATTTATTATTTATTTCTCTCCTGTTCCTGAACAATATCACAGAATAAATAAATATAATTATGATATGTAGATTTCTATTTGTGTAGTTTCTTTTCATTAGTGATAACATCTCAAGGGATTTGGAGGTGTGCTAGGAAATAATACTAATATATTCTCTTTTCAAAGTACCTGGCAAGGAAGCAGAAATACTAGGGATAAGGTAGAATGGAAGTGAAACAAACAGACAGGATAAATAGGAAAAGTAATAGCTATCTCTTTCTCCAATATTAGTAAATGGCAACTAAAAGGTGAATCTTCTCAGTTCTGGCAAGAAAAATAGCACTTTCCCCTGAAGGAAGACCCTGGAATTATGCACTTGTTGTCATAAAGACATAAATGATATAAGGAAAAAGAGTAAATAAATCTGCAAAATATTTAAAATTTTAGTTCGGTCTAACAGTTTGCGTGAAAAATTCAGTAGACATTAAGCATGTACTCTGAACTATTAGAACTAATTTTATTTTAAATAATTTTATGAACATTATTGACCAGTTATTTTAACAAGGCACTGCTGGGTCTCAGAATATTTCCTTTGGATATATCAGTAAGTACACATTAGATTTAGAGTTGAGATTTGCAACCTTTTCTCTTGTCCCTGTGTTTTAATTATAAGCCAATAATTAATTAAAAGCAGAATCAAACAAACAAAAAGCAGAAGGGGAAATACAAAATAGTGACATTAATTTAAGAGAAAAATGGCCTTCACAGAATCAAAAAGTAAATGGAAGGCTCTTATCTGCAAGAATTATATTATAGTGAATTT